>NC_000018.10:20850825-20861206 GCF_000001405.40 Homo sapiens | reverse complement strand
TCCGTCTAGTTTTTATGGGAAGACATCTCTTTATCACCAAAGGTGTCAAAGCGCTCCAGAAGTCCACTTCCTGATAGTAGAAAAAGAGTGTTTCCAAACTGCTGTATCATAACAAAGGCTGAACTCTGTTAGTTGAGGACACACATCACAAAGAAGTTTCTGAGAATGCCGCTGTCTACTTTTTATATGTAATCCCGTTTCCAACGCAATCCTCAGAGCTATCCTAAGATTCACTTGCAGATTCCACGAAAAGAGCTTTTCAAGACTGATCTATAAATAGAAAGGTTCAACTCTGTTAGTTGAGTACGTATATCCCAAAGAATTCTCTTAGAATGCTTCTGTCTTGTTTTTATGGGAAGATGTTTCCTTTTTCAACATAGGCCTGAAATCGCTCGAAATGTCCACTTCCAGATACTACAAAAAAAGTGTTTCAAACCGGCTCTATGGAAGGGAATATTGAACTCTGTGACTTAAAAGCAAACATCACAAAGAAGTTTCTGAGAATGCTTCTGTCTAGATTTTATATGAAGATATTCCCATTTCGAACGAAATAGTTAGAGCTGTTCAAATATCCACTTGCATATTCTACAAAAAGTGTTTTTTCAAACTGCTGTATTATAAGAGAGGTTGAACTCTGTTAGTTGAGGACACACATCACAAAGAAGTTTCTGAGAATGCTGCTGTCTACTTTGTATATGTAATCCCGTTTCCAACGAAATCCTCAAAGCTATCCAAATATCCTCCTGCAGCTTCCACGAAAAGACGGTTTCAAACCTGCTCTAAGAAAGGGAATATTCAACTCTGTGACTTGAATACAGATATCACAATGTAGTTTCTGAGAGTGCTTCTGTCTAGTTTTTATGGGGAGATATTTCCTTTTTCACCATGGGCCTGAAAGCGCTCGAAATGTCCACTTCCAGATACTACAGAAAGAGTGTTTCAAACCTGCTGTATGAAAGGGAATGTTCAACTCTGTGACTTAGAAGCAAACATCACAAAGAAGCTTCTGAGAATGTTTCCGTCTAGGTTTTATATGAAGATACTCCCGTTTCCAACGACATCCACAAAGCTATCCAAATATCCAATTGCAGATTCTACAAAAAGCGTGTTTCCAAACTGCTCTGTCACAGGAAATGTTCAACTCTGTTGGTTGAGGACACACATCACAAACAAGTTTCTGCGAATGCTTCTGTCTAGTTTTCATGGGAAGTTATTTCCTTTTTCAGTGTAAGCGTCAAAGCGCTCCAAGTGTCGACATCCAGATACTTCAGAAAGAGTGTTTCAAACCTGCTCTATGAAAGGGAATGTTCAACTCTGTGACGTGAATGCAGACATTACAAAGGAGTTTCGGAGAATGTTTCTGTCTAGATTTTACCTGAAGATATTCCGGTTTCCAATGAAATCCTAAAAGATCTCCAGATATCCACTTGCAGATTCTCCAAAAAGAGTCTTTGAAAATTGCTCTGTAAATAGAAAGGTTCAACTCTGTTAGTTGAGGACATACATCACAAACCAGTTTGTGAGAATGCTTTTCTCTAGAGTTTATATGAAGCTATTCCCGTTTCCAACGAAATAGCTTGAGCTATCCAAATATCCACTTGCAGATTCTACAGACAGAGTGTTTCCAAACTGCTGTATCAAAAGACAGGTTGTACTGTGTTACTTGAGGACTCACATCACAAAGCAGTTTCTGAGAATGCTGCTGTCTACTTTGTATATGTAATCCCGTTTCCAACGAAATCCTCAAAGCTATCCAAATAGCCTCCTGCAGATTCCACGAAAAGATGGTTTCAAACCTGCTCTAAGAAAGGGAATATTCAACTCCGTGACTTGAATACAGATATCAAAATGTATTTTCTGATGGTGCTTCTGTCAAGTTTGTATGGGAAGATATTTCCTTGTTCACCATAGGCCTGAAAGCGCTCGAAATGTCCTCTTCCATATACTAGAGAAAGAGTGTTTGAAACCTGCTCTATGAAAGGGAATGTTCAACTCTGTGACTTAAAAGCAAACATCACAAAGCAGCTTCTGAGAAAGCTTGTGTCTAGATTTTATATGATGATATTCCCGTTTCCAACGAAATAGTTAGAGCTATCCAAGTATCCACTTGCATATTCTACAAAAGGAGTGTTTCCAAACTGCTGTATCATAAGACAGTTTGAACTCTGTTAGTTGAGGACACACATCACAAAGAAATTTCTGAGAATGCTGCTTTCTACTTTGTATATGTAATCCCTTTTCCAACGAAATCCTCAAAGCTATCCAAATATCCTCCTGCACATTCCACGAAAAGACGGTTTCAAACCTGCTCTAAGAAAGGGAATATTCAACTCTGTGACTTGAATGCAGATATTAGAATGTAGTTTCTGAGAGTGCTTCTGTCTAGTTTTTATCGGAAGATATTTCCTTTTTCACCATAGGCCTGAAAGCACTCGAAATGTCCACTTCCAGATACTACAGAAAGAGTGTTTCAAAACTGCTCTATGAAAGGGAATGTTGAACACTGTGACTTAAAAGCAAACATCACAAAGAAGCTTCTGAGAATGCTTCTGTCTAGGTTTTATATGAAGATACTCCCGTTTCCAAGGAAATCCACAAAGCTATCCAAATATCCACTTGCAGATTCTACAAAAAGCGTGTTTCCAAACTGCTCTGTCAAATGAAATGTTCAACTCTGATAGTTGAGGATACATATCACAAACAAGTTTCTGCGAATGCTTCTGTCTAGTTTTCATTGGAAGATATTTCCTTTTGCACCGTAAGCCTCAAAGCGCTCCAAGTGTCCACATCCAGGTACTACAGAAAGAGTGTTTCAAACCTGCTCTATGAAAGGAAATATTCAACTCTGTGACGTGAATACAGACATCACAAAGCAGTTTCTGAGAATGTTTCTGTCTAGATTTTACCTGAAGATATTCCGGTTTCCAATGAAATCCTTAAAGCTTTCCAAATATACACTTGCAGATTCTCCAATAGAGTCTTTCAAAACTGCTCTGTAAATAGAAAGGTACAACCCTCTTAGTTGAGGACATACATCACAAACCAGTTTGTGAGAATGCTTCTGTCTAGAGTTTATATGAAGATATTCCCGTTTCCAACGAAATAGCTTGAGCTATCCAACTATCCACTTGCAGATTCTACAGAAAGAGTGTTTCCAAACTGCTGTATCAAACGACAGGTTGTACTCTGTTACTTGAGGACACACATCACAAAGAAGTTTCTGAGAATGCCGCTGTCTACTTTGTACATGTAATCCCGTTTCCAGCGAAATCCTCAAAGCTATCCAAATATCCCCCTGCAGATTCCACGAAAAGACGGTTTCAAACCTGCTCTAAGAAAGGGAATATTCAACTCTGTGACTTGAATGCAGGTATCACAATGTAGTTTCTGAGAGTGCTTCTGTTTAGTTTTTATGGGAAGATATTTCCCTTGTTCACCATAGGCCTGAAAGCGCTCGAAATGGCCACTTCCAGATATTACAGAAAGAGTGTTTGAAACCTGCTCTATGAAAGGGAATGTTCAACTCTGTGACTTAAAAGCAAACATCACAAAGAAGCTTCTGAGAATGCTTCCGTCTAGGTTTTATATGAAGATACTCCCGTTTCCAACGACATCCACAAAGCTATCCAAATATCCAATTGCAGATTCTACAAAAAGCGTGTTTCCAAACTGCTCTGTCACAGGAAATGTTCAACTCTGTTGGTTGAGGACACACATCACAAACAAGTTTCTGCGAATGCTTCTGTCTAGTTTTCATGGGAAGTTATTTCCTTTTTCAGTGTAAGCGTCAAAGCGCTCCAAGTGTCGACATCCAGATACTTCAGAAAGAGTGTTTCAAACCTGCTCTATGAAAGGGAATGTTCAACTCTGTGACGTGAATGCAGACATTACAAAGGAGTTTCGGAGAATGTTTCTGTCTAGATTTTACCTGAAGATATTCCGGTTTCCAATGAAATCCTAAAAGATCTCCAGATATCCACTTGCAGATTCTCCAAAAAGAGTCTTTGAAAATTGCTCTGTAAATAGAAAGGTTCAACTCTGTTAGTTGAGGACATACATCACAAACCAGTTTGTGAGAATGCTTTTCTCTAGAGTTTATATGAAGCTATTCCCGTTTCCAACGAAATAGCTTGAGCTATCCAAATATCCACTTGCAGATTCTACAGACAGAGTGTTTCCAAACTGCTGTATCAAAAGACAGGTTGTACTGTGTTACTTGAGGACTCACATCACAAAGCAGTTTCTGAGAATGCTTGCTGTCTACTTTGTATATGTAATCCCGTTTCCAACGAAATCCTCAAAGCTATCCAAATAGCCTCCTGCAGATTCCACGAAAAGATGGTTTCAAACCTGCTCTAAGAAAGGGAATATTCAACTCCGTGACTTGAATACAGATATCAAAATGTATTTTCTGATGGTGCTTCTGTCTAGTTTTTATGGGGAGATATTTCCTTTTTCACCATGGGCCTGAAAGCGCTCGAAATGTCCACTTCCAGATACTACAGAAAGAGTGTTTCAAACCTGCTGTATGAAAGGGAATGTTCAACTCTGTGACTTAGAAGCAAACATCACAAAGAAGCTTCTGAGAATGTTTCCGTCTAGGTTTTATATGAAGATACTCCCGTTTCCAACGACATCCACAAAGCTATCCAAATATCCAATTGCAGATTCTACAAAAAGCGTGTTTCCAAACTGCTCTGTCACAGGAAATGTTCAACTCTGTTGGTTGAGGACACACATCACAAACAAGTTTCTGCGAATGCTTCTGTCTAGTTTTCATGGGAAGTTATTTCCTTTTTCAGTGTAAGCGTCAAAGCGCTCCAAGTGTCGACATCCAGATACTTCAGAAAGAGTGTTTCAAACCTGCTCTATGAAAGGGAATGTTCAACTCTGTGACGTGAATGCAGACATTACAAAGGAGTTTCGGAGAATGTTTCTGTCTAGATTTTACCTGAAGATATTCCGGTTTCCAATGAAATCCTAAAAGATCTCCAGATATCCACTTGCAGATTCTCCAAAAAGAGTCTTTGAAAATTGCTCTGTAAATAGAAAGGTTCAACTCTGTTAGTTGAGGACATACATCACAAACCAGTTTGTGAGAATGCTTTTCTCTAGAGTTTATATGAAGCTATTCCCGTTTCCAACGAAATAGCTTGAGCTATCCAAATATCCACTTGCAGATTCTACAGACAGAGTGTTTCCAAACTGCTGTATCAAAAGACAGGTTGTACTGTGTTACTTGAGGACTCACATCACAAAGCAGTTTCTGAGAATGCTTCTGTCTAGTTTTTATGGGAAGATATTTCCTTTTTCACCAAAGTCGTCAAAGCGCTCCAAATGTCCACTTCCAGATACAACAAAAAGAGTCTATCAAACCAGATCTACGAAAGGGAATGTTGAACTCTGTGACTTGAATGCAGATCTCACAAAGTAGTTTACTGAGAGTGCCTCTGTGTAGATTTTACATGAATGTAGACCCATTTCCAACGAAATCCTTAAAGCCATCCAATTATCCACTTGCAGATACTACAAAAAGAGTTTTTCAAAACTGCTGTGTAGAAAGAAAAGTTCAGCTCTGTCAGTTGAGTACACACAGCACAAACAAGTTTCTGAGAATGCTGCTGTCTACATTTTATATGAAATCCCATTTCCAAGGAAATCCTCAGAGCTATCCGAATATCCACTTGCAGATTACAGAAAAAGAGCTTCTCAAAACTGACCCAGAAATAGAAAGGTTCAACTCTGTTAGTTGAGTACATATATCCCAAAGAAGTTTCTGAGAATGCTTCTGTCTAGTTTTTATGGGATGATATTTCCTTTTTCAACATAGGACTGAAATCACCCGAAATGTCCACTTCCGGATACTACAGAAAGAGTGTTTCAATCCTGCTCTATGGAAGGGAATATTCAACTCTGTGACTTAAAAGCAAACATCACAAAGAAGCTTCTGAGAATGCTTGTGTCTAGATTTTATATGATGATATTCCCGTTTCCAACGAAATAGTTAGAGCTATCCAAGTATCCACTTGCATATTCTACAAAAGGAGTGTTTCCAAACTGCTGTATCATAAGACAGTTTGAACTCTGTTAGTTGAGGACACACATCACAAAGAAATTTCTGAGAATGCTGCTTTCTACTTTGTATATGTAATCCCTTTTCCAACGAAATCCTCAAAGCTATCCAAATATCCTCCTGCACATTCCACGAAAAGACGGTTTCAAACCTGCTCTAAGAAAGGGAATATTCAACTCTGTGACTTGAATGCAGATATTAGAATGTAGTTTCTGAGAGTGCTTCTGTCTAGTTTTTATCGGAAGATATTTCCTTTTTCACGATAGTTCGGAAAGCACTCGAAATGTCCACTTCCAGATACTACAGAAAGAGTGTTTCAAAACTGCTCTATGAAAGGGAATGTTCAACTCTGTGACTTAAAAGCAAACATCACAAAGAAGCTTCTGAGAATGCTTCTTTCTAGGTTTTATATGAAGATACTCCCGTTTCCAAGGAAATCCACAAAGCTATCCAAATATCCACTTGCAGATTCTACAAAAAGCGTGTTTCCAAACTGCTCTGTCAAACGAAATGTTCAACTCTGTGAGTTGAGGACACACATCACAAACAAGTTTCTGCGAATGCTTCTGTCTAGTTTTTATGGGAAGATATTTCCTTTTTCACCGTAAGCGTCAAAGCGCTCCAAGTGTCCACATCCAGATACTACAGAAAGAGTCTTTCAAACCTGCTCTATGAAAGCGAATGTTCAACTCTGTGACGTGAATGCACACATCACAAAGCAGTTTCTTTGAATGCTTCTGTCTAGATTTTACCTGAAGATATTCCGGTTTCCAATGAAATCCTTAAAGCTTTCCAAATATACACTTGCAGATTCTCCAATAGAGTCTTTCAAAACTGCTCTGTAAATAGAAAGGTACAACCCTCTTAGTTGAGGACATACATCACAAACCAGTTTGTGAGAATGCTTCCATCGTGTTTTTATGGGAAGACATTTCTTTATCACTAAAGGTGTCAAAGCGCTCCAAAAGTCCACTTCCTGATAGTACAAAAAGAGTGTTTCCAAACTGCTGTATCATAACAAAGGCTGAACTCTGTTAGTTGAGGACACACATCACATAGAAGTTTCTGAGAATGCCGCTGTCTACTTTTATATGTAATACCCTTTCCAACGAAATCCTCAGAGCTATCCTAAGATTCACTTGCAGATTCCACGAAAAGAGCTTTTCAAGACTGATCTATAAATAGAAAGGTTCAACTCTGTTAGTTGAGTACATATATACCAAAGAATTTTCTTAGAATGCTTCTGTATTGCTTTTATGGGAAGATATTTCCTTTTTCACCATAGGCCTGAAAGTGCTCGAAATGTCCACTTCCAGATACTACAAAAAAAGGGTTTCAAACCGGCTCTATGGAAGGGAATGTTGAACTCTGTGACTTAAAAGCAAACATCACAAAGAAGATTCTTAGAATGCTTCTGTCTAGATTTTATATGAAGATATTCCCATTTCGAACGAAATAGTTAGAGCTGTTCAAATATCCACTTGCATATTCTACAAAAAGTGTTTTTTCAAACTGCTGTATTATACGAGAGGTTGAACTCTGTTAGTTGAGGACACACATCACAAAGAAGTTTCTGAGAATGCTGCTGTCTACTTTGTATATGTAATCCCGTTTCCAACGAAATCCTCAAAGCTATCCAAATATCCTCCTGCAGCTTCCACGAAAAGACGGTTTCAAACCTGCTCTAAGAAAGGGAATATTCAACTCTGTGACTTGAATACAGATATCACAATGTAGTTTCTGAGAGTGCTTCTGTCTAGTTTTTATGGGGAGATATTTCCTTTTTCACCATGGGCCTGAAAGCGCTCGAAATGTCCACTTCCAGATACTACAGAAAGAGTGTTTCAAACCTGCTGTATGAAAGGGAATGTTCAACTCTGTGACTTAGAAGCAAACATCACAAAGAAGCTTCTGAGAATGTTTCCGTCTAGGTTTTATATGAAGATACTCCCGTTTCCAACGACATCCACAAAGCTATCCAAATATCCAATTGCAGATTCTACAAAAAGCGTGTTTCCAAACTGCTCTGTCACAGGAAATGTTCAACTCTGTTGGTTGAGGACACACATCACAAACAAGTTTCTGCGAATGCTTCTGTCTAGTTTTCATGGGAAGTTATTTCCTTTTTCAGTGTAAGCGTCAAAGCGCTCCAAGTGTCGACATCCAGATACTTCAGAAAGAGTGTTTCAAACCTGCTCTATGAAAGGGAATGTTCAACTCTGTGACGTGAATGCAGACATTACAAAGGAGTTTCGGAGAATGTTTCTGTCTAGATTTTACCTGAAGATATTCCGGTTTCCAATGAAATCCTAAAAGATCTCCAGATATCCACTTGCAGATTCTCCAAAAAGAGTCTTTGAAAATTGCTCTGTAAATAGAAAGGTTCAACTCTGTTAGTTGAGGACATACATCACAAACCAGTTTGTGAGAATGCTTCTGCCTAGATTTTATATGAAGCTATTCCCGTTTTCAACAAAATCGTTAGAGCTATCGAAATATCCACTTCCAGATTCTACAAAAAGAGTGTTTCCAAACTGATGTATCAAAAGACAGGTTGTACTCTGTTAGTTGAGGACGCACATCACGAAGAAGTTTCTGAGAATGCCTTGGTGTAGTTTTTATGGGGACATATTTCCTTTTTCACCAAAGTCGTCAAAGAGCTCCAAAGATCCACTTCCAGATACAAAAAAAGAGTGTTTCAAACCAGATCTACGAGAGGGAATGTTCAACTCTGTGACTTGAATGCAGATCTCACAAAATTAGTTTCTGAGAGTGCCTCTGTGTAGATTTTACATGAATATAGTCCCGTTTCCAACGAAATCCTTAAAGTCATCCAATTATCCACTTGCAGATTCTACAAAAAGAGTGTTTCAAAACTGCTGTGTAAAAAGAAACGTTCAACTCTGTCAGATGAGTACACACAACACAAACAAGTTTCTGAGAATGCTGCTGTCTACATTTTATATGAAATCCCATTTCCAAGGAAATCCTCAGAGCTATCCGAATATCCACTTGCAGATTACAGAAAAAGAGCTTCTCAAAACTGACCCAGAAATAGAAAGGTTCAACTCTGTTAGTTGAGTACATATATCCCAAAGAAGTTTCTGAGAATGCTTCTGTCTAGTTTTTATGGGATGATATTTCCTTTTTCAACATAGGACTGAAATCACCCGAAATGTCCACTTCCGGATACTACAGAAAGAGTGTTTCAATCCTGCTCTATGGAAGGGAATATTCAACTCTGTGACTTAAAAGCAAACATCACAAAGAAGCTTCTGAGAATGCTTGTGTCTAGATTTTATATGATGATATTCCCGTTTCCAACGAAATAGTTAGAGCTATCCAAGTATCCACTTGCATATTCTACAAAAGGAGTGTTTCCAAACTGCTGTATCATAAGACAGTTTGAACTCTGTTAGTTGAGGACACACATCACAAAGAAATTTCTGAGAATGCTGCTTTCTACTTTGTATATGTAATCCCTTTTCCAACGAAATCCTCAAAGCTATCCAAATATCCTCCTGCACATTCCACGAAAAGACGGTTTCAAACCTGCTCTAAGAAAGGGAATATTCAACTCTGTGACTTGAATGCAGATATTAGAATGTAGTTTCTGAGAGTGCTTCTGTCTAGTTTTTATCGGAAGATATTTCCTTTTTCACGATAGTTCGGAAAGCACTCGAAATGTCCACTTCCAGATACTACAGAAAGAGTGTTTCAAAACTGCTCTATGAAAGGGAATGTTCAACTCTGTGACTTAAAAGCAAACATCACAAAGAAGCTTCTGAGAATGCTTCTTTCTAGGTTTTATATGAAGATACTCCCGTTTCCAAGGAAATCCACAAAGCTATCCAAATATCCACTTGCAGATTCTACAAAAAGCGTGTTTCCAAACTGCTCTGTCAAACGAAATGTTCAACTCTGTGAGTTGAGGACACACATCACAAACAAGTTTCTGCGAATGCTTCTGTCTAGTTTTCATTGGAAGATATTTCCTTTTGCACCGTAAGCCTCAAAGCGCTCCAAGTGTCCACATCCAGATACTACAGAAAGAGTGTTTCAAACCTGCTCTATGAAAGGAAATATTCAACTCTGTGACGTGAATACAGACATCACAAAGCAGTTTCTGAGAATGTTTCTGTCTAGATTTTACCTGAAGATATTCCGGTTTACAATGAAATCCTTAAAGCTCTCCAAATATCCACTTGCAGATTCTCCAAAAAGAGTCTTTCAAAACTACTCTGTAAATAGAAAGGTTCAACTCTGTTAGTTGAGGAAATACATCACAAACTAGTTTTTGAGAATGCT
>NC_000018.10:20839797-20850725 GCF_000001405.40 Homo sapiens | reverse complement strand
CTTCTGTGTAGTTTTTATGGGAAGATACTTCCTTTTTCACCGTAAGCATCAAAGCGCTCCAAGTGTCCACATCAAGATACTACAGAAAGAGTGTTTCTGGGATTGTAAAGTAGTTCAACCATTGTGGAAGTCAGTGTGGCGATTCCTCAGGGATCTAGAACTAGAAATACCATTTGACCCAGCCATCCCATTACTGGGTATATACCCAAAGGACTATAAATCATGGTGCTATAAAGACACATGCACACGTATGTTTATTGCGGCACTATTCACAATAGCAAAGACTTGGAACCAGCCCAAATGTCCAACAATGATAGACTGGATTAAGGAAATGTGGCCCATATACACCATGGAATACTATGCAGCCATAAAAAATGATGTGTTCATATCATTTGTAGGGACATGGATGAAATTGGAAAATATCATTCTCAGTAAACTATCGCAAGAACAAAAAACGAAACACCGCATATTCTCACTTATAGGTGGGAATTGAACAATGAGATCACATGGACACAGGAAGGGGAATGTCACACTCTGGGGAATGTGGTGGGGTGCTGTCTACTTTTTATATGTAATCCCGTTTCCAACGCAATCCTCAGAGCTATCCTAAGATTCACTTGCAGATTCCACGAAAAGAGCTTTTCAAGACTGATCTATAAATAGAAAGGTTCAACTCTGTTAGTTGAGTACGTATATCCCAAAGAATTCTCTTAGAATGCTTCTGTCTTGTTTTTATGGGAAGATGTTTCCTTTTTCAACATAGGCCTGAAATCGCTCGAAATGTCCACTTCCAGATACTACAAAAAAAGTGTTTCAAACCGGCTCTATGGAAGGGAATATTGAACTCTGTGACTTAAAAGCAAACATCACAAAGAAGTTTCTGAGAATGCTTCTGTCTAGATTTTATATGAAGATATTCCCATTTCGAACGAAATAGTTAGAGCTGTTCAAATATCCACTTGCATATTCTACAAAAAGTGTTTTTTCAAACTGCTGTATTATACGAGAGGTTGAACTCTGTTAGTTGAGGACACACATCACAAAGAAGTTTCTGAGAATGCTGCTGTCTACTTTGTATATGTAATCCCGTTTCCAACGAAATCCTCAAAGCTATCCAAATATCCTCCTGCAGCTTCCACGAAAAGACGGTTTCAAACCTGCTCTAAGAAAGGGAATATTCAACTCTGTGACTTGAATACAGATATCACAATGTAGTTTCTGAGAGTGCTTCTGTCTAGTTTTTATGGGGAGATATTTCCTTTTTCACCATGGGCCTGAAAGCGCTCGAAATGTCCACTTCCAGATACTACAGAAAGAGTGTTTCAAACCTGCTGTATGAAAGGGAATGTTCAACTCTGTGACTTAGAAGCAAACATCACAAAGAAGCTTCTGAGAATGTTTCCGTCTAGGTTTTATATGAAGATACTCCCGTTTCCAACGACATCCACAAAGCTATCCAAATATCCAATTGCAGATTCTACAAAAAGCGTGTTTCCAAACTGCTCTGTCACAGGAAATGTTCAACTCTGTTGGTTGAGGACACACATCACAAACAAGTTTCTGCGAATGCTTCTGTCTAGTTTTCATGGGAAGTTATTTCCTTTTTCAGTGTAAGCGTCAAAGCGCTCCAAGTGTCGACATCCAGATACTTCAGAAAGAGTGTTTCAAACCTGCTCTATGAAAGGGAATGTTCAACTCTGTGACGTGAATGCAGACATTACAAAGGAGTTTCGGAGAATGTTTCTGTCTAGATTTTACCTGAAGATATTCCGGTTTCCAATGAAATCCTAAAAGATCTCCAGATATCCACTTGCAGATTCTCCAAAAAGAGTCTTTGAAAATTGCTCTGTAAATAGAAAGGTTCAACTCTGTTAGTTGAGGACATACATCACAAACCAGTTTGTGAGAATGCTTCTGCCTAGATTTTATATGAAGCTATTCCCGTTTCCAACGAAATCGTTAGAGCTATCGAAATATCCACTTCCAGATTCTACAAAAAGAGTGTTTCCAAACTGATGTATCAAAAGACAGGTTGTACTCTGTTAGTTGAGGACGCACATCATGAAGAAGTTTCTGAGAATGCCTCTGTCTAGTTTTTATGGGAAGATATTTCCTTTTTCACCAAAGTCGTCAAAGCGCTCCAAATGTCCACTTCCAGATACAACAAAAAGAGTCTATCAAACCAGATCTACGAAAGGGAATGTTGAACTCTGTGACTTGAATGCAGATCTCACAAAGTAGTTTCTGAGAGTGCCTCTGTGTAGATTTTACATGAATGTAGACCCATTTCCAACGAAATCCTTAAAGCCATCCAATTATCCACTTGCAGATACTACAAAAAGAGTTTTTCAAAACTGCTGTGTAGAAAGAAAAGTTCAGCTCTGTCAGTTGAGTACACACAGCACAAACAAGTTTCTGAGAATGCTGCTGTCTACATTTTATATGAAATCCCATTTCCAAGGAAATCCTCAGAGCTATCCGAATATCCACTTGCAGATTACAGAAAAAGAGCTTCTCAAAACTGACCCAGAAATAGAAAGGTTCAACTCTGTTAGTTGAGTACATATATCCCAAAGAAGTTTCTGAGAATGCTTCTGTCTAGTTTTTATGGGATGATATTTCCTTTTTCAACATAGGACTGAAATCACCCGAAATGTCCACTTCCGGATACTACAGAAAGAGTGTTTCAATCCTGCTCTATGGAAGGGAATATTCAACTCTGTGACTTAAAAGCAAACATCACAAAGAAGCTTCTGAGAATGCTTGTGTCTAGATTTTATATGATGATATTCCCGTTTCCAACGAAATAGTTAGAGCTATCCAAGTATCCACTTGCATATTCTACAAAAGGAGTGTTTCCAAACTGCTGTATCATAAGACAGTTTGAACTGTGTTAGTTGAGGACACACATCACAAAGAAATTTCTGAGAATGCTGCTTTCTACTTTGTATATGTAATCCCTTTTCCAACGAAATCCTCAAAGCTATCCAAATATCCTCCTGCACATTCCACGAAAAGACGGTTTCAAACCTGCTCTAAGAAAGGGAATATTCAACTCTGTGACTTGAATGCAGATATTAGAATGTAGTTTCTGAGAGTGCTTCTGTCTAGTTTTTATCGGAAGATATTTCCTTTTTCACGATAGTTCGGAAAGCACTCGAAATGTCCACTTCCAGATACTACAGAAAGAGTGTTTCAAAACTGCTCTATGAAAGGGAATGTTCAACTCTGTGACTTAAAAGCAAACATCACAAAGAAGCTTCTGAGAATGCTTCTTTCTAGGTTTTATATGAAGATACTCCCGTTTCCAAGGAAATCCACAAAGCTATCCAAATATCCACTTGCAGATTCTACAAAAAGCGTGTTTCCAAACTGCTCTGTCAAACGAAATGTTCAACTCTGTGAGTTGAGGACACACATCACAAACAAGTTTCTGCGAATGCTTCTGTCTAGTTTTCATTGGAAGATATTTCCTTTTGCACCGTAAGCCTCAAAGCGCTCCAAGTGTCCACATCCAGATACTACAGAAAGAGTGTTTCAAACCTGCTCTATGAAAGGAAATATTCAACTCTGTGACGTGAATACAGACATCACAAAGCAGTTTCTGAGAATGTTTCTGTCTAGATTTTACCTGAAGATATTCCGGTTTACAATGAAATCCTTAAAGCTCTCCAAATATCCACTTGCAGATTCTCCAAAAAGAGTCTTTCAAAACTACTCTGTAAATAGAAAGGTTCAACTCTGTTAGTTGAGGAAATACATCACAAACTAGTTTTTGAGAATGCTTCCGTCTGGTTTTTATGGGAAGACATCTCTTTATCACCAAAGGTGTCAAAGCGCTCCAAAAGTCCACTTCCTGATAGTACAAAAAGAGTGTTTCCAAACTGCTGTATCATAACAAAGGCTGAACTCTGTTAGTTGAGGACACACATCACAAAGAAGTTTCTGAGAATGCCGCTGTCTACTTTTTATATGTAATCCGATTTCCAACGAAATCCTCAGAGCTATCCTAAGATTCACTTGCAGATTCCACGAAAAGAGCTTTTCAAGACTGATCTATAAATAGAAAGGTTCAACTCTGTTAGTTGAGTACTTATATCCCAAAGAATTCTCTTAGAATGCTTCTGTCTTTTTTTATGGGAAGATGTTTCCTTTTTCAACATAGGCCTGAAATCGCTCGAAATGTCCACTTCCAGATACTACAAAAAAAGTGTTTCAAACCGGCTCTATGGAAGGGAATATTGAACTCTGTGACTTAAAAGCAAACATCACAAAGAAGTTTCTGAGAATGCTTCTGTCTAGATTTTATATGAAGATATTCCCATTTCGAACGAAATAGTTAGAGCTGTTCAAATATCCACTTGCATATTCTACAAAAAGTGTTTTTTCAAACTGCTGTATTATACGAGAGGTTGAACTCTGTTAGTTGAGGACACACATCACAAAGAAGTTTCTGAGAATGCTGCTGTCTACTTTGTATATGTAATCCCGTTTCCAACGAAATCCTCAAAGCTATCCAAATATCCTCCTGCAGCTTCCACGAAAAGACGGTTTCAAACCTGCTCTAAGAAAGGGAATATTCAACTCTGTGACTTGAATACAGATATCACAATGTAGTTTCTGAGAGTGCTTCTGTCTAGTTTTTATGGGGAGATATTTCCTTTTTCACCATGGGCCTGAAAGCGCTCGAAATGTCCACTTCCAGATACTACAGAAAGAGTGTTTCAAACCTGCTGTATGAAAGGGAATGTTCAACCCTGTGACTTAGAAGCAAACATCACAAAGAAGCTTCTGAGAATGTTTCCGTCTAGGTTTTATATGAAGATACTCCCGTTTCCAACGACATCCACAAAGCTATCCAAATATCCAATTGCAGATTCTACAAAAAGCGTGTTTCCAAACTGCTCTGTCACAGGAAATGTTCAACTCTGTTGGTTGAGGACACACATCACAAACAAGTTTCTGCGAATGCTTCTGTCTAGTTTTCATGGGAAGTTATTTCCTTTTTCAGTGTAAGCGTCAAAGCGCTCCAAGTGTCGACATCCAGATACTTCAGAAAGAGTGTTTCAAACCTGCTCTATGAAAGGGAATGTTCAACTCTGTGACGTGAATGCAGACATTACAAAGGAGTTTCGGAGAATGTTTCTGTCTAGATTTTACCTGAAGATATTCCGGTTTCCAATGAAATCCTAAAAGATCTCCAGATATCCACTTGCAGATTCTCCAAAAAGAGTCTTTGAAAATTGCTCTGTAAATAGAAAGGTTCAACTCTGTTAGTTGAGGACATACATCACAAACCAGTTTGTGAGAATGCTTCTGCCTAGATTTTATATGAAGCTATTCCCGTTTCCAACGAAATCGTTAGAGCTATCGAAATATCCACTTCCAGATTCTACAAAAAGAGTGTTTCCAAACTGATGTATCAAAAGACAGGTTGTACTCTGTTAGTTGAGGACGCACATCATGAAGAAGTTTCTGAGAATGCCTCTGTCTAGTTTTTATGGGAAGATATTTCCTTTTTCACCAAAGTCGTCAAAGCGCTCCAAATGTCCACTTCCAGATACAACAAAAAGAGTCTATCAAACCAGATCTACGAAAGGGAATGTTGAACTCTGTGACTTGAATGCAGATCTCACAAAGTAGTTTACTGAGAGTGCCTCTGTGTAGATTTTACATGAATGTAGACCCATTTCCAACGAAATCCTTAAAGCCATCCAATTATCCACTTGCAGATACTACAAAAAGAGTTTTTCAAAACTGCTGTGTAGAAAGAAAAGTTCAGCTCTGTCAGTTGAGTACACACAGCACAAACAAGTTTCTGAGAATGCTGCTGTCTACATTTTATATGAAATCCCATTTCCAAGGAAATCCTCAGAGCTATCCGAATATCCACTTGCAGATTACAGAAAAAGAGCTTCTCAAAACTGACCCAGAAATAGAAAGGTTCAACTCTGTTAGTTGAGTACATATATCCCAAAGAAGTTTCTGAGAATGCTTCTGTCTAGTTTTTATGGGATGATATTTCCTTTTTCAACATAGGACTGAAATCACCCGAAATGTCCACTTCCGGATACTACAGAAAGAGTGTTTCAATCCTGCTCTATGGAAGGGAATATTCAACTCTGTGACTTAAAAGCAAACATCACAAAGAAGCTTCTGAGAATGCTTGTGTCTAGATTTTATATGATGATATTCCCGTTTCCAACGAAATAGTTAGAGCTATCCAAGTATCCACTTGCATATTCTACAAAAGGAGTGTTTCCAAACTGCTGTATCATAAGACAGTTTGAACTCTGTTAGTTGAGGACACACATCACAAAGAAATTTCTGAGAATGCTGCTTTCTACTTTGTATATGTAATCCCTTTTCCAACGAAATCCTCAAAGCTATCCAAATATCCTCCTGCACATTCCACGAAAAGACGGTTTCAAACCTGCTCTAAGAAAGGGAATATTCAACTCTGTGACTTGAATGCAGATATTAGAATGTAGTTTCTGAGAGTGCTTCTGTCTAGTTTTTATCGGAAGATATTTCCTTTTTCACGATAGTTCGGAAAGCACTCGAAATGTCCACTTCCAGATACTACAGAAAGAGTGTTTCAAAACTGCTCTATGAAAGGGAATGTTCAACTCTGTGACTTAAAAGCAAACATCACAAAGAAGCTTCTGAGAATGCTTCTTTCTAGGTTTTATATGAAGATACTCCCGTTTCCAAGGAAATCCACAAAGCTATCCAAATATCCACTTGCAGATTCTACAAAAAGCGTGTTTCCAAACTGCTCTGTCAAACGAAATGTTCAACTCTGTGAGTTGAGGACACACATCACAAACAAGTTTCTGCGAATGCTTCTGTCTAGTTTTCATTGGAAGATATTTCCTTTTGCACCGTAAGCCTCAAAGCGCTCCAAGTGTCCACATCCAGATACTACAGAAAGAGTGTTTCAAACCTGCTCTATGAAAGGAAATATTCAACTCTGTGACGTGAATACAGACATCACAAAGCAGTTTCTGAGAATGTTTCTGTCTAGATTTTACCTGAAGATATTCCGGTTTACAATGAAATCCTTAAAGCTCTCCAAATATCCACTTGCAGATTCTCCAAAAAGAGTCTTTCAAAACTACTCTGTAAATAGAAAGGTTCAACTCTGTTAGTTGAGGAAATACATCACAAACTAGTTTTTGAGAATGCTTCCGTCTGGTTTTTATGGGAAGACATCTCTTTATCACCAAAGGTGTCAAAGCGCTCCAAAAGTCCACTTCCTGATAGTACAAAAAGAGTGTTTCCAAACTGCTGTATCATAACAAAGGCTGAACTCTGTTAGTTGAGGACACACATCACAAAGAAGTTTCTGAGAATGCCGCTGTCTACTTTTTATATGTAATCCGATTTCCAACGAAATCCTCAGAGCTATCCTAAGATTCACTTGCAGATTCCACGAAAAGAGCTTTTCAAGACTGATCTATAAATAGAAAGGTTCAACTCTGTTAGTTGAGTACTTATATCCCAAAGAATTCTCTTAGAATGCTTCTGTCTTTTTTTATGGGAAGATGTTTCCTTTTTCAACATAGGCCTGAAATCGCTCGAAATGTCCACTTCCAGATACTACAAAAAAAGTGTTTCAAACCGGCTCTATGGAAGGGAATATTGAACTCTGTGACTTAAAAGCAAACATCACAAAGAAGTTTCTGAGAATGCTTCTGTCTAGATTTTATATGAAGATATTCCCATTTCGAACGAAATAGTTAGAGCTGTTCAAATATCCACTTGCATATTCTACAAAAAGTGTTTTTTCAAACTGCTGTATTATACGAGAGGTTGAACTCTGTTAGTTGAGGACACACATCACAAAGAAGTTTCTGAGAATGCTGCTGTCTACTTTGTATATGTAATCCCGTTTCCAACGAAATCCTCAAAGCTATCCAAATATCCTCCTGCAGCTTCCACGAAAAGACGGTTTCAAACCTGCTCTAAGAAAGGGAATATTCAACTCTGTGACTTGAATACAGATATCACAATGTAGTTTCTGAGAGTGCTTCTGTCTAGTTTTTATGGGGAGATATTTCCTTTTTCACCATGGGCCTGAAAGCGCTCGAAATGTCCACTTCCAGATACTACAGAAAGAGTGTTTCAAACCTGCTGTATGAAAGGGAATGTTCAACCCTGTGACTTAGAAGCAAACATCACAAAGAAGCTTCTGAGAATGTTTCCGTCTAGGTTTTATATGAAGATACTCCCGTTTCCAACGACATCCACAAAGCTATCCAAATATCCAATTGCAGATTCTACAAAAAGCGTGTTTCCAAACTGCTCTGTCACAGGAAATGTTCAACTCTGTTGGTTGAGGACACACATCACAAACAAGTTTCTGCGAATGCTTCTGTCTAGTTTTCATGGGAAGTTATTTCCTTTTTCAGTGTAAGCGTCAAAGCGCTCCAAGTGTCGACATCCAGATACTTCAGAAAGAGTGTTTCAAACCTGCTCTATGAAAGGGAATGTTCAACTCTGTGACGTGAATGCAGACATTACAAAGGAGTTTCGGAGAATGTTTCTGTCTAGATTTTACCTGAAGATATTCCGGTTTCCAATGAAATCCTAAAAGATCTCCAGATATCCACTTGCAGATTCTCCAAAAAGAGTCTTTGAAAATTGCTCTGTAAATAGAAAGGTTCAACTCTGTTAGTTGAGGACATACATCACAAACCAGTTTGTGAGAATGCTTCTGCCTAGATTTTATATGAAGCTATTCCCGTTTCCAACGAAATCGTTAGAGCTATCGAAATATCCACTTCCAGATTCTACAAAAAGAGTGTTTCCAAACTGATGTATCAAAAGACAGGTTGTACTCTGTTAGTTGAGGACGCACATCATGAAGAAGTTTCTGAGAATGCCTCTGTCTAGTTTTTATGGGAAGATATTTCCTTTTTCACCAAAGTCGTCAAAGCGCTCCAAATGTCCACTTCCAGATACAACAAAAAGAGTCTATCAAACCAGATCTACGAAAGGGAATGTTGAACTCTGTGACTTGAATGCAGATCTCACAAAGTAGTTTCTGAGAGTGCCTCTGTGTAGATTTTACATGAATGTAGACCCATTTCCAACGAAATCCTTAAAGCCATCCAATTATCCACTTGCAGATACTACAAAAAGAGTTTTTCAAAACTGCTGTGTAGAAAGAAAAGTTCAGCTCTGTCAGTTGAGTACACACAGCACAAACAAGTTTCTGAGAATGCTGCTGTCTACATTTTATATGAAATCCCATTTCCAAGGAAATCCTCAGAGCTATCCGAATATCCACTTGCAGATTACAGAAAAAGAGCTTCTCAAAACTGACCCAGAAATAGAAAGGTTCAACTCTGTTAGTTGAGTACATATATCCCAAAGAAGTTTCTGAGAATGCTTCTGTCTAGTTTTTATGGGATGATATTTCCTTTTTCAACATAGGACTGAAATCACCCGAAATGTCCACTTCCGGATACTACAGAAAGAGTGTTTCAATCCTGCTCTATGGAAGGGAATATTCAACTCTGTGACTTAAAAGCAAACATCACAAAGAAGCTTCTGAGAATGCTTGTGTCTAGATTTTATATGATGATATTCCCGTTTCCAACGAAATAGTTAGAGCTATCCAAGTATCCACTTGCATATTCTACAAAAGGAGTGTTTCCAAACTGCTGTATCATAAGACAGTTTGAACTCTGTTAGTTGAGGACACACATCACAAAGAAATTTCTGAGAATGCTGCTTTCTACTTTGTATATGTAATCCCTTTTCCAACGAAATCCTCAAAGCTATCCAAATATCCTCCTGCACATTCCACGAAAAGACGGTTTCAAACCTGCTCTAAGAAAGGGAATATTCAACTCTGTGACTTGAATGCAGATATTAGAATGTAGTTTCTGAGAGTGCTTCTGTCTAGTTTTTATCGGAAGATATTTCCTTTTTCACGATAGTTCGGAAAGCACTCGAAATGTCCACTTCCAGATACTACAGAAAGAGTGTTTCAAAACTGCTCTATGAAAGGGAATGTTCAACTCTGTGACTTAAAAGCAAACATCACAAAGAAGCTTCTGAGAATGCTTCTTTCTAGGTTTTATATGAAGATACTCCCGTTTCCAAGGAAATCCACAAAGCTATCCAAATATCCACTTGCAGATTCTACAAAAAGCGTGTTTCCAAACTGCTCTGTCAAACGAAATGTTCAACTCTGTGAGTTGAGGACACACATCACAAACAAGTTTCTGCGAATGCTTCTGTCTAGTTTTCATGGGAACATATTTCCTTTTTCACCGTAAGCGTCAAAGCCCTCCAAGTGTCCACATCCAGATACTACAGAAAGGGAGTTTCAAACCTGCTCTATGAAAGGGAATGTTCAACTCCGTGACGTGAATGCAGACATCACAAAGCAGTTTCTGAGAATGTTTCTGTCTAGATTTTACCTGAAGATATTCCGGTTTACAATGAAATCCTTAAAGCTCTCCAAATATCCACTTGCAGATTCTCCAAAAAGAGTCTTTCAAAACTACTCTGTAAATAGAAAGGTTCAACTCTGTTAGTTGAGGAAATACATCACAAACTAGTTTTTGAGAATGCTTCCGTCTAGTTTTTATGGGAAGACATCTCTTTATCACCAAAGGTGTCAAAGCGCTCCAGAAGTCCACTTCCTGATAGTACAAAAAGAGTGTTTCCAAACTGCTGTATCATAACAAAGGCTGAACTCTGTTAGTTGAGGACACACATCACAAAGAAGTTTCTGAGAATGCCGCTGTCTACTTTTTATATGTAATCCCGTTTCCAACGCAATCCTCAGAGCTATCCTAAGATTCACTTGCAGATTCCACGAAAAGAGCTTTTCAAGACTGATCTATAAATAGAAAGGTTCAACTCTGTTAGTTGAGTACGTATATCCCAAAGAATTCTCTTAGAATGCT
>NC_000018.10:20835592-20839697 GCF_000001405.40 Homo sapiens | reverse complement strand
GCTTACGGTGCAAAGGAAATATCTTCCCATAAAAACTAGACAGAAGCATTCTCACAAACTGGTTTGTGATGTGTGTCCTCAGCTAACAGAGTTGAACCTTTCTATTTACAGAGCTGTTTTGAAAGACTCTATTGGAGAATCTGCAAGTGGATATTTGGAAAGCTTTAAGGATTTCATTGGAAACCGGAATATCTTCAGGTAAAATCTCGACAAGGGCATTCTCAGAAACTTCTTTGTGATGTGTGTCCTCAAGTAACAGAGTACAACCTGTCTTTTGATACAGCAGTTTGGAAACACTCTTTCTGTAGAATCTACAAGTGGATATTTGGATAGCTCAAGCTATTTCGTTGGAAACGGGAATAGCTTCATATAAACTCTAGACAGAAGCACTCTCAGAAACTACTTTGTGATATCTGTATTCAAGTCACAGAGTTGAATATTCCCTTTCTTAGAGCAGGTTTGAAACCGTCTTTTCGTGGAATCTGCAGGAGGATATTTGGATAGCTTTGGGGATTTCGTCGGAAACGGGATTACATATACAAAGTAGACAGCAGCATTCTCAGAAGCTGCTTTGTGATGTTTGCTTTTAAGTCACAGAGTTGAACATTCCCTTTCAGAGAGCAGGTTTCAAACACTCTTTCTGTAGTATCTGGAAGAGGACATTTCGAGCGCTTTCAGGCCTATGGTGAACAAGGAAATATCTTCCCATAAAAACTTGACAGAAGCATTCTCACAAACTGGTTTGGGATGTATGTCCTCAGCTAACAGAGTACAACCTGTCTTTTGATACAGCAGTATTGAAACACTCTTTCTGTAGAATCTGCAAGTGGATATTTGGATAGCTCTAACGATTTCGTTGGAAAGGGTAATATTTAATATAAAATCTAGACAGAGGCACTCTCAGAAACTGCTTTGTGATATGTGCATTCAAGTCACAGAGTTGAACATTCCCTTTATTAGAGCAGGTTTGAAACACTCTTTTTGTAGTATCTGGAAGTGGACATTTGGAGCGCTTTGACGCCTTTGGTGAAAAAGGAAATATCTTCCCATAAAAACTAGACAGAAGCATTCTCAGAAACTTCTTTGTGATGTGTGCCCTCAACTAACAGAGTTCAACCTCTCTTATGATACAGAAGTTTGGAAACACTCTTTCTGTAAAACATGCAAGGGGATATTTGGATAGCTCGAAGAATTTCGTTGGAAACGGGAATACCTTCATATAAAATCTAGACAGAAGCACTCTCAGAAACTACTTTGTGATAACTGCATTCAAGTCACAGTTGAATATTCCCTTTCTGAGAGCAGGTTTGAAACCGTCTTTTCTTGGAATCTGCAGGTGGATATTTGGATAGCTTTCAGGATTTCGTTGGAAACGGGATTCCATATACAAAGTAGACAGTAGCATTCTCAGAAGCTTCTCTGTGATGTTTGCCTTTAAGTCACAGAGTTGGACATTCCCTTCATAGAGGAGGTTTGAAACACTCTATCTGTAGCATCTGGAAGTGGACATTTGGAGCGCTTTCAGGCCTATGGTGAAAAAGGAAATATCTTCCCATAAAAACTAAACAGAAGCCTTCGCAGAAACTTGTTTGTGATGTGTGTCCTCAACTCACAGAGTTGAACATTTCGTTTGACAGAGGAGTTTGGAAACACACTTTTTGTAGAATCTGCAAGGGGATATTTGATAACTTTGCAGATTTCGTTGGAAGCGGGAATATCTTCATGTAAAATCGAGACAGAAGCATTCTCAGAAACTGCTTTGTGATGTCTGCATTCACGTCACAGAGTTGAACATTCGCTTTCATAGAGCAGGTTTGAAAGACTCTTTTTGTAGTATCTGGATGTGGACACTTGGAGCGCTTTGACGCTTACGATGAAAAAGGAAATATCTTCCCATAAAAACTAGACAAAAGCATTCTCAAAAACTGGTTTGTGATGTATGTCCTCAACTAACAGTGTTGAACCTTTCTATTTACAGAGCTGTTTTGAAAGACTCAATTGGAGAATCTGCAAGTGGATATTTGGAAAGCTTTAAGGATTTCATTGGAAACCGGAATATCTTCAGGTAAAATCTAGACAGAGGCCTTCTCAGAAACTACTTTGTGATGTGTGTCCTCAAGTAACAGAGTACAACCTGTCTTTCGATACAGCAGTTTGGAAACACTCTTTCTGTAGAATCTGCAAGTGGATAGTTGGATAGCTCAAGCTATTTCGTTGGAAACGGGAATAGCTTCATATAAACTCTAGACAGAAGCACTCTCAGAAACTACTTTGTGATATCTGTATTCAAGTCACAGAGTTGAATATTCCCTTTCTTAGAGCAGGTTTGAAACCGTCTTTTCGTGGAATCTGCAGGAGGATATTTGGATAGCTTTGAGGATTTCGTTGGAAAAGGGATTACATGTACAAAGTAGATAGCAGCATTCTCAGAAGCTGCTGTGTGATGTTTGCTTTTAAGTCACAGAGTTGAACATTCCCTTTCATAGAGCAGGTTTCAAACACTCTTTCTGTAGTATCTGGAAGAGGACATTTCGAGCGCTTTTAGGCCTATGGTGAACAAGGAAATATCTTCCCATAAAAACTTGACAGAAGCATTCTCACAAACTGGTTTGGGATGTATGTCCTCAGCTAACAGAGTACAACCTGTCTTTTGATACAGCAGTATTGAAACACTCTTTCTGTAGAATCTGCAAGTGGATATTTGGATAGCTCTAACGATTTCGTTGGAAACGGGAATACTTTAGTATAAAATCTAGACAGAGGCACTCTCAGAAACTGCTTTGTGATATGTGCATTCAAGTCACACAGTTGAACATTCCCTTTATTGGAGCAGGTTTGAAACACTCTTTTTGTAGTATCTGGAAGTGGACATTTGGAGCGCTTTGACGCCTTTGGTGAAAAAGGAAATATCTTCCCATAAAAACTAGACAGAAGCATTCTCAGAAACTTCTTTGTGATGTGTGTCCTCAACTAACAGAGTTCAACCTCTCTTATGATACAGAAGTTTGGAAACACTCTTTCTGTAGAACATGCAAGGGGATATTTGGATAGCTCGAAGAATTTCCTTGGAAAGGGGAATACCTTCATATAAAATCTAGACAGAAGCACTCTCAGAAACTACTTTGTGATAACTGCATTCAAGTCACAGTTGAATATTCCCTTTCTGAGAGCAGGTTTGAAACCGTCTTTTCTTGGAATCTGCAGGTGGATATTTAGATAGCTTTCAGGATTTCGTTGGAAACGGGATTCCATATACAAGGTAGACCGTAGCATTCTCAGAATCTTCTCTGTGATGTTTGCCTTTAAGTCACAGAGTTGAACATTCCCTTTCATAGAGCAGGTTTGAAACACTCTATCTGTAGCATCTGGAAGTGGACATTTCGAGTGCTTTCAGGCCTATGGTGAAAAAGGAAATATCTTCCCATAAAAACTAGACAGAAGCATTCTCAGAAACTTATTTGTGATGTGTGTCCTCAACTAACAGAGTTGAACCTTTCTTTTGATACAGCAGTTTGGAAACACACATTTTGTAGAATCTGCAAGGGGATATTTGGATAACTTTGAAGATTTCGTTGGAAGCAGGAATATCTTCATGTAAAATCGAGAAAGAAGCATTCTCAGAAACTGCTTTGTGATGTCTGCATTCACGTCACAGAGTTGAACATTCGCTTTCATAGAGCAGGTTTGAAAGACTCTTTCTGTAGTATCTGGATGTGCACACTTGGAGCGCTTTGACGCTTACGATGAAAAAGGAAATATCTTCCCATAAAAACTAGACAGAAGCATTCTCACAAACTGGTTTGTGATGTATGTCCTCAACTAACGGAGTTGAACCTTTCTATTTACAGAGCAGTTTTGAAAGACTCAATTGGAGAATCTGCAAGTGGATATTTGGAAAGCTTTAAGGATTTCCTTGGAAACCGGAATATCTTCAGGTAAACTCTAGACAGAGGCATTCTCAGAAACTTCTTTGTGATGTGTGTCCTCAAGTAACAGAGTACAACCTGTCTTTTGATACAGCAGTTTGGAAACACTCTTTCTGTAGAATCTGCAAGTGGATAGTTGGATAGCTCAAGCTATTTCGTTGGAAAGGGGAATATCTCAT
>NC_000018.10:20831341-20835547 GCF_000001405.40 Homo sapiens | reverse complement strand
ACTTTGTGATATCTGTATTCAAGTCACAGAGTTGAATATTCCCTTTCTTAGAGCAGGTTTGAAACCGTCTTTTCGTGGAATCTGCAGGAGGATATTTGGATAGCTTTGAGGATTTCGTTGGAAACGGGATTACATGTACAAAGTAGACAGCATCATACTCAGAAGCTGCTGTGTGATGTTTGCTTTTAACTCACAGAGTTGAACATTCCCTTTCATAGAGCAGGTTTCCAACACTCTTTCTGTAGTATCTGGAAGAGGACATTTCGAACGCTTTCAGGCCTATGGTGAACAAGGGAATATCTTCCCATAAAAACTTGACAGAAGCATTCCCACAAACTGGTTTGGGATGTATGTCCTCAGCTAACAGAGTACAACCTGTCTTTTGATAGAGCAGTATTGAAACACTCTTTCTGTAGAATCTGCAAGTGGATATTTGGATAGCTCTAACGATTTCGTTGGAAACGGGAATACTTTAATATAAAATCTAGACAGAGGCACTCTCAGAAACTGCTTTGTGATATGTGCATTCAAGTCACAGAGTTGAACATTCCCTTTATTGGAGCAGGTTTGAAACACTCTTTTTGTAGTATCTGGAAGTGGACATTTGGAGCGCTTTGACGCCTTTGGTGAAAAAGGAAATATCTTCCCATAAAAACTAGACAGAAGCATTCTCAGAAACTTCTTTGTGATGTGTGTCCTCAGCTAACAGAGTTCAACCTCTCTTATGATACAGAAGTTTGGAAACACTCTTTCTGTAGGACATGCAAGGGGATATTTGGATAGCTCGAAGAATTTCGTTGGAAACGGGAATAACTTCATATAAAATCTAGACAGAAGCACTCTCAGAAACTACTTTGTGATAACTGCATTCAAGTCAGAGTTGAATATTCGTTTATGAGAGCAGGTTTGAAACCGTCTTTTCTTGGAATCTGCAGGAGGATATTTGGATAGCTTTCAGGATTTCGTTGGAAACGGGATTCCATATACAAAGTAGACAGTAGCATTCTCAGAAGCTTCTCTGTGATGTTTGCCTTTAAGTCACAGAGTTGAACATTCCCTTTCATAGAGCAGGTTTGAAACACTCTATCTGTAGCATCTGGAAGTGGACATTTCGAGCGCTTTCAGGCCTATGGTGAATAAGGAAATATCTTCCCATAAAAACTAGACAGAAGCATTCTCAGACTTATTTCTGATGTGTGTCCTCAACTAACAGAGTTGAACCTTTCTTTTGATACAGCTGTTTGGAAACACACTTTTTGTAGAATCTGCAAGGGGATATTTGGATAACTTTGAAGCTTTCGTTGGAAACGGGAATATCTTCATGTAAAATCGAGACAGAAGCATTCTCAGAAACTGCTTTGTGATGTCTGCATTCACGTCACAGAGTTGAACATTCGCTTTCATAGAGCAGGTTTGAAAGACTCTTTCTGTAGTATCTGGATGTGGACACTTGGAGCACTTTGACGCTTACGGTGAAAAAGGAAATATCTTCCCATAAAAACTAGACAGAAGCATTCTCACAAACTGGTTTGTGATGTATGTCCTCAACTAACAGAGTTGAACCTTTCTATTTACAGAGCAGTTTTGAAAGACTCAATTGGAGAATCTGCAAGTGGATATTTGGAAAGCTTTAAGGATTTCTTTGGAAACCGGAATATCTTCAGGTAAAATCTAGACAGAGGCATTCTCAGAAACTTCTTTGTGATGTGTGTCCTCAAGTAACAGAGTACAACCTGTCTTTTGATACAGCAGTTTGGAAACACTCTTTCTGTAGGATCTGCAAGTGGATAGTTGGATAGCTCAAGCTATTTCGTTGGAAACGGGAATATCTTCATATAAACTCTAGACAGAAGCACTCTCAGAAACTACTTTGTGATATCTGTATTCAAGTCACAGAGTTGAATATTCCCTTTCTTACAGCAGGTTTGAAACCGTGTTTTCGTGGAATCTGCAGGAGGATATTTGGATAGATTTGAGGATTTCTTTGGAAACGGGATTACATGTACAAAGTAGACAGCAGCATTCTCAGAAGCTGCTGTGTGATGTTTGCTTTTAAGTCACAGAGTTGAACATTCCCTTTCATAGAGCAGGTTTCAAACACTCTTTCTGTAGTATCTGGAAGAGGACATTTCGAGCGCTTTGACGCTTTCGGTGAAAAAGGAAATATCTTCCCATAAAAACTTGACAGAAGCATTCTCACAAACTGGTTTGGGATGTATGTCCTCAGCTAACAGAGTACAACCTGTCTTTTGATACAGCAGTATTGAAAGACTCTTTCTGTAGAATCTGCAAGTGGATATTTGGATAGCTCTAACGATTTCTTTGGAAACGGGAATAACTTAATGCAAAATCTAGACAGAGGCACTCTCAGAAACTGCTTTGTGATATGTGCATTCAAGTCACAGAGTTGAACATTCCCTTTATTGGAGCAGGTTTGAAACCCTCTTTTTGTAGTATCTGGAAGTGGTCATTTGGAGCGCTTTGACGCCTTTGGTGAAAAAGGAAATATCTTCCCATAAAAACTAGACAGAAGCATTCTCAGAAACTTCTTTGTGATGTGTTTCCTCAACTAACAGAGTTCAACCTCTCTTATGATACAGAAGTTTGGAAACACTCTTTCTGTAGAACATGCAAGGGGATATTTGGATAGCCTGAAGAATTTCGTTGGAAACGGGAATACCTTCATATAAAATCTAGACAGAAGCACTCTCCGAAACTACTTTGTGATAACTGCATTCAAGTCAGAGTTGAATATTCCCTTTCTGAGAGCAGGTTTGAAACCGTCTTTTCTTGGAATCTGCAGGTGGATATTTGGATAGCTTTCAGGATTTCGTTGGAAACGGGATTCCATATACAAAGTAGACAGTAGCAGTCTCAGAAGCTTCTCTGTGATGTTTGCCTTTAAGTCACAGAGTTGAACATTCCCTTTCATAGAGCAGGTTTGAAACACCCTATCTGTAGCATCTGGAAGTGGACATTTCCAGCGCTTTGACGCCTTTGGTGAAAAAGGAAATATCTTCCCTAAAAAACTACACAGAAGCATTCTCAGAAACTTGTTTGTGATGTGTGTCCTCAACTAACAGAGTTCAACCTCTCTTATGATACAGAAGTTTGGAAACACTCTTTTTGTAGAATATGCCAGGGGTTATTTGGATAGCTTGAAGTATTTCGTTGGAAACTGGAATAACTTCATATAAAATCTAGACAGAAGCACTCTCAGAAACTACTTTGTGATATCTGCATTCAAGTCACAGAGTCGAACATTCCCTTTCTTAGAGCAGGTTTGAAACCGTCTTTTCTTGGAATCTGCAGGCGGATATTTGGAAAGCTTTCAGGAATTCCTTGGAAAGGGGATTACATATACAAAGTAGACAGTAGCATTCTCAGAAGCTTCTCTGTGATGTTTGCTTTTAAGTCACAGAGTTGAGAATTCCCTTTCATAGAGCAGGTTTGAAACACTCTTTCTGTAGTATCTGGAAGTGGACATTTCGAGGGCTTTCAGGCCTATGGTGAAAAAGGAAATATCTTCCCATAAAAACTAGACAGAAGCATTCTCAGAAACTTATTTGTGATGTGTGTCCTCAAGTAACAGAGTTGAACCTTTCTTTTGGTACAGCAGTTTGGAAACACCCTTTTTGTAGAATCTGCAAGTGGATATTTGGATAACTTTGAAGATTTCGTTGGAAGCGGGAATATCTTCATGTGAAATTGAGACAGAAGCTTTCTCAGAAACTGCTTTGTGATGTCTGCATTCAGGTCACCGAGTTGAACATTCGCTTTCATAGAGCATGTTTGAAAGACTCTTTCTGTAGTATCTGGATGTGGACACTTGGAGCGCTTTGACGCTTACGGTGCAAAAGGAAATATCTTCCCATAAAAATTAGACAGAAGCATTCTCACAAACTGGTTTGTGATGTATGTCCTCAACTAACAGAGTTGAACCTTTCTATTTACAGAGCTGTTTTGAAAGACTCAATTGGAGAATCTGCAAGTGGATATTTGGAAAGCTTTAAGGATTTCATTGGAAACCGGAATATCTTCAGATAATATCTAGACAGAGGCCTTCTCAGAAACTTGTTTGTGATGTCTGTCCTCAAGTAACACAGTACAACCTGTCTTTTGATACAGCAGTTTGGAAACACTCTTTCTGTAGAATCTGCAAGTGGATAGTTGGATAGCTCAAGCTATTTCGTTGAAACGGGAATA
>NC_000018.10:20813183-20830724 GCF_000001405.40 Homo sapiens | reverse complement strand
GAAATATCTAGACAGAGGCCTTCTCAGAAACTTGTTTGTGATGTCTGTCCTCAAGTAACACAGTACAACCTGTCTTTTGATACAGCAGTTTGGAAACACTCTTTCTGTAGAATCTGCAAGTGGATAGTTGGATAGCTCAAGCTATTTCGTTTGAAACGGGAATATCTTCATATAAACTCCAGACAGAAGCACTCTCAGAAACTACTTTGTGATATCTGTATTCAAGTCACAGAGTTGAATATTCCCTTTCTTAGAGCAGGTTTGAAACCGTCTTTTCGTGGAATCTGCAGGAGGATATTTGGATAGCTTTGAGGATTTCGTTGGAAACGGGATTACATGTACAAAGTAGACAGCACCATGCTCAGAAGCGGCTGTGTGATATTTGCTTTTAAGTCACAGAGTTGAACATTCCCTTTCATAGAGCAGGTTTCAAACACTCTTTCTGTAGTATCTGGAAGAGGACATTTCTAGCGCTTTCAGGCCTATGATGAACAAGGAAATATCTTCCCATAAAAACTTGACAGAAGCATTCTCACAAACTGGTTTGGGATGTATGTCCTCAGCTAACAGAGTACAACCTGTCTTTTGATACAGCAGTATTGAAACACTCTTTCTGTAGAATCTGCAAGTGGATATTTGGATAGCTCTAACGATTTCGTTGGAAACGGGAATACTTTAGTATAAAATCTAGACAGAGGCACTCTCAGAAACGGCTTTGTGATATGTGCATGCAAGTCACAGAGTTGAACATTCCCTTTATTGGAGCAGGTTTGAAACACTCTTTCTGTAGTATCTGGAAATGGACATTTGGAGCGCTTTGACGCCTTTGGTGAAAAAGGAAATATCTTCCCATAAAAACTAGACAGAAGCATTCTCAGAAACTTCTTTGTGATGTGTGTCCTCAAATAACAGAGTTCAACCTCTCTTATGATACAGAAGTTTGGAAACACTCTTTCTGTAGAACATGCAAGGGGATATTTGGATAGCTCGAAGAATTTCGTTGGAAACGGGAATACCTTCACATGAAATCTAGACAGAAGCACTCTCAGAAACTACTTTGTGATAACTGCATTCAAGTCAGAGTTGAATATTCCCTTTCTGAGAGCAGGTTTGAATCCGTCTTTTCTTGGAATCTGCAGGTGGATATTTGGATAGCTTTCAGGATTTCGTTGGAAACGGGATTCCATATACAAAGTAGACAGTAGCAGTCTCAGAAGCTTCTCTGTGATGTTTGCCTTTAAGTCACAGAGTTGAACATTCCCTTTCATAGAGCAGGTTTGAAACACTCTATCTGCAGCATCTGGAAGTGGACATTTCGAGCGCATTCAGGCCTATGGTGAAAAAGGAAATATCTTCCCATAAAAACTAGACAGAAGCATTCTCAGAAACTTATTTGTGATGTGTGTCCTCAACTAACAGAGTTGAACCTTTCTTTTGATACAGCAGTTTGGAAACACACTTTTTGTAGAATCTGCAAGGGGATATTTGGATAACTTTGAAGATTTCGTTGGAAGCGGGAATATCTTCATGTAAAATCGAGACAGAAGCATTCTCAGAAACTGCTTTGTGATGTCTGCATTCACGTCACAGAGTTGAACATTCGCTTTCATAGAGCAGGTTTGAAAGACTCTTTCTGTAGTATCTGGATGTGGACACTTGGAGCGCTTTGACGCTTACCGTGAAAAAGGAAATATCTTCCCATAAAAACTAGACAGAAGCATTCTCACAAACTGGTTTGTGATGCATGTCCTCAACTAACAGAGTTGAACCTTTCTATTTACAGAGCAGTTTTGAAAGACTCAATTGGAGAATCTGCAAGTGGATATTTGGAAAGCTTTAAGGATTTCATTGGAAAACGGAATATCTTCATGTAAAATCTAGACAGAGGCATTCTCAGAAACTTCTTTGTGATGTGTGTCCTCAAGTAACAGAGTACAACCTGCCTTTTGATACAGCAGTTTGGAAACACTCTTTCTGTAGAATCTGCAAGTGGATAGTTGGATACCTCAACCTATTTCGTTGGAAACGGGAATAGCTTCATATAAACTCTAGACAGAAGCACTCTCAGAAACTACTTTGTGATATCTGTATTCAAGTCACAGAGTTGAATATTCCCTTTCTTAGAGCAGGTTTGAAACCGTCTTTGGGTAGAATCTGCAGGAGGATATTTGGATAGCTTTGAGGAGTTCGTTGGAAACGGGATTACAAGTACAAAGTAGATAGCAGCATTCTCAGAAGCTGCTGTGTGATGTTTGCTTTTAAGTCAGAGAGTTGAACATTCCCTTTCATAGAGCAGGATTCAAACACTCTTTCTGTAGTATCTGGAAGAGGACATTTCGAGCGCTTTCAGGCATATGGTGAACAAGGAAATATCTTCCCATAAAAACTTGACAGAAGCATTCTCACAAACTTGTTTGGGATGTATGTCCTCAGCTAACAGAGTACAACCTGTCTTTTGATACAGCAGTATTGAAACACTCTTTCTGTAGAATCTGCAAGTGGATATTTGGATAGCTCTAACGATTTCTTTGGAAACGGGAATACTTTAGTATAAAATCTAGACAGAGGCACTCTCAGAAACTGCTTTGTGATATGTGCATTCAAGTCACAGAGTTGAACATTCCCTTTATTGGAGCCGGTTTGAAAAACTCTTTTTGTAGTATCTGGAAGTGGACATTTGGAGCGCTTTGACGCCTTTGGTGAAAAAGGAAATATCTTCCCATAAAAACTAGACAGAAGCATTCTCAGAAACTTCTTTGTGATGTGTGTCCTCAACTAACAGAGTTCAACCTCTCTTATGATACAGAAGTTTGGAAACACTCTTTCTGTAGAACATGCAAGGGGATATTTGGATAGCTCGAAGAATATCGTTGGAAACGGGAATACCTTCATATAAAATCTACACAGAAGCAGCACTCTCAGAAACTACTTTGTGAAAACTGCATTCAAGTCAGAGTTGAATATTCCCTTTCTGAGAGCAGGTTTGAAACCGTCTTTTCTTGGAATCTGCAGGTGGATATTTGGATAGCTTTCAGGATTTCGTTGGAAACGGGATTCCATATACAAAGTAGACAGTAGCATTCTCAGAATCTTCTCTGTGATGCTTGCCTTTAAGTCACAGAGTTGAACATTCCCTTTCATAGAGCAGGTTTGAAACACTCTATCTGTAGCATCTGGAAGTGGACATTTCGAGCGCTTTCAGGCCTATGGTGAAAAAGGAAATATCTTCCCATAAAAACTAGACAGAAGCATTCTCAGAAACTTATTTGTGATGTGTGTCCTCAATTAACAGAGTTGAACCTTTATTTTGATACAGCAGTTTGGAAACACACTTTTGTAGAATCTGCAAGGGGATATTTGGAAAATTTTGAAGATTTCGTTGGAATCGGGAATATCTTCATGTAAAATCGAGACAGAAGCATTCAAAGAAACTGCTTTGTGATGTGTGCATTCACGTCACAGAGTTGAACATTCGCTTTCATAGAGCAGGTTTGAAAGACTCTTTCTGTAGTATCTGGATGTGGACACTTGGAGCGCTTTGACGCTTACGGTGAAAAAGGAAATATCTTCCCATAAAAACTAGACAGAAGCATTCTCACAAAGTGGTTTGTGATGTATGTCCTCAACTAACAGAGTTGAACCTTTCTATTTACAGAGCAGTTTTGAAACACTCAATTGGAGAATCTGCAAGTGCATATTTGGAAAGCTTTAAGGATTTCCTTGGAAACCGGAATATCTTCAGGTAAAATCTAGACAGAGGCATTCTCAGAAACTTCTTTGTGATGTGTGTCCTCAAGTAACAGAGTACAACCTGTCGTTTGATACAGCAGTTTGGAAACACTCTTTCTGTAGAATCTGCAAGTGGATAGTTGGATAGCTCAAGCTATTTCGTTGGAAACGGGAATATCTTCATATAAACTCTAGACAGAAGCACTCTCAGAAACTACATTGTGATACCTGCATTCAAGTCACAGAGTTGAATATTCCCTTTCTTAGAGCAGGTTTGAAACCGTCTTTTCGTGGAATCTGCAGGGGGATATTTGGATAGCTTTGAGGATTTCGCTGGAAACGGGATTACATGTACAAAGTAGACAGCAGCATTCTCAGAATCTGCTGTGTGATGTTTGCTTTTAAGTCACAGAGTTGAACATTCCCTTTCATAGAGCAGGTTTCCAACACTCTTTCTGTAGTATCTGGAAGAGGACATTTCGAGCACTTTCAGGCCTATGGTGAACAAGGAAATATCTTCCCATAAAAACTTGACAGAAGCATTCTCACAAACTGGTTTGGGATGTATGTCCTCAGCTAACAGAGTACAACCTGTCTTTTGATACAGCAGTATTGAAAGACTCTTTCTGTAGAATCTGCAAGTGGATATTTGGATAGCTCTAACGATTTCGTTGGAAACGGGAATACTTTAATATAAAATCTAGACAGAGGCACTCTCAGAAACTGCTTTGTGATATGTGCATTCAAGTCACAGCGTTGAACATTCCCTTTATTGGAGCAGGTTTGAAACACTCTTTTTGTAGTATCTGGAAGTGGACATTTGGAGCGCTTTGACGTCTTTGGTGAAAAAGGAAATATCTTCCCATAAAAACTAGACAGAAGCATTCTCAGAAACTTCTTTGTGATGTGTGTCCTCAACTAACAGAGTTCAACCTCTCTTATGATACAGAAGTTTGGAAACACTCTTTCTGTAGAACATGCAAGGGGATATTTGGATAGCTCGAAGAATTTCGTTGGAAACGGGAATACCTTCATATAAAATCTAGACAGAAGCACTCTCAGAAACTACTTTGTGATAACTGCATTCAAGTCAGAGTTGAATATTCCCTTTCTGAGAGCAGGTTTGAAACCGTCTTTTCTTGGAGTCTGCAGGTGGATATTTCGATAGCATTCAGGATTTCGTTGGAAACGGGATTCCATATACAAAGTAGACAGTAGCATTCTCAGAAGCTTCTCTGTGATGTTAGCCTTTAAGTCACAGAGTTGAACATTCCCTTTCATAGAGCAGGGTTGAAACACTCTTTCTGTAGTATCTGGATGTGGACACTTGGAGCGCTTTGACGCTTACGGTGAAAAAGGAAATATCTTCCCATAAAAACTAGATAGAAGCATTCTCACAAACTGGTTTGTGATGTAGGTCCTCAACTAACAGAGTACAACCTGTCCTTTGATACAGCAGTATTGAAACACTCTTTCTGTAGAATCTGCAATTGGATCTTTGGATAACTCTAGCGATTTCGATGGATACGGGAATAACTTCATATGAAATCTAGACCGAGCCACTCTCAGAAACTGCTTTGTGATATCTGCATTCAAGTCACAGAGTTGAACATTCCCTTTCTTCGGGCAGGTTTGAAACACTCTTTTTGTAGTATCTGGAAGTGGACATTTGGAGCGCTTTGACGCCTTTTGTGAAAAAGGAAATGTCTTCACATAAAAACTAGACAGAAGCATTCTAAGAAAATTCTTTCGGATATATGTACACAACTAACGGAGTTGAATCATTCTATTTATAGATCAGTTTTCAAACGCTTTTTTTATGGAATCTGCAAGTGGATATTCGGATAACTCTGAGGATTTCGTTGGAGACAGGATTACGTATAAAAGTAGACAGCAGCATTCTCAGAAGCTTCTTTGTGATGTTTGCTTTTAAGTCACAGAGTTGAATATTCTCTTCCGTAGAGCAGGTTTGAAACACTCTTTCTGTAGTATCTGGAAGTGGACATTTCGAGCGCTTTCAGGCCTATGTTGAAAAACGAAACATCTTCCCATAAAAACTAGACAGAAGCATTCTCAGAAACTACTTTTTGATGTGTGTCCTCAACGAACAGAGTTCAACCTCTCTTATAATACAGCAGTTTGGAAACACTCTTTTTGTAGAGTATGCAAGGGGATATTTGGATAGCTCTAAGTATTTCGTTGGAAACGGGAATATCTTCATATAAAATCTAGACAGAAGCACTCTCAGGAACTAATTTGTGATATCTCCATTCAAGTCACAGATTTGAATATTCCCTTTCTCAGAGTAGGTTTGAAACCGTCTTTTCTTGGAATCTGCAGGAGGATATTTGGATAGCTTTGAGGATTTCGTTGGAAACGGGATTACATGTACAAACTCGACAGCAGCATTCTCAGAAACTTCTTTATGATGTTTTCTTTTACGTCACAGAGTTGAACATTCGCATTCATAGAGCAGGTTTGAAACACTCTTTCTGTAGTATCTGGAAGTGGACGTTTCGAGCGCTTTCAGGCTCATGGTGAAAAAGGAAATATCTTCCCATAAAAACTAAACTGAAGCATTCTCAGAAACTTATTTGTGATGTGTGTCCTCAACTAACAGAGTTGAACCTTTCTTTTGATACAGCAGTTTGGAAACACTTTTTGTAGAATCTGCAAGTGGATATTTGGATAACTTTGAAGATTTCTTTGGAAACGGGAATATCTTCATGTAAAATCGAGACAGAAGCATTCTCAGAAAGTGTTTTCTGATGTCTGCATTCACGTCACAGAGTTCAACATTCGCTTTCATAGAGCAGAATTGAAACACTCTTTCTGTAGTATCTGGATGTGGACCCTTGGAGCGCTTTGACGCTTATGGTGAAAAAGGAAATATCTTCCCTTAAAAACTAGACAGAAGCATTCTCACAAACTAGTTTCTGATGTATGTCCTCAACTAACAGAGTTGCATCTTTCTATTTACAGAGCAGTTTTGACAGACTCTATTGGAGAATCTACAAGTGGATATTTGGAAAGCTTTAAGGATTTCTTTGGAAACCGGAATATCTTCAGGTAAAATCTAGACAGAGGCATTCTCACAAACTTCTTTGTGATGTGTGTCCTCAAGTAACAGAGTACAACCTGTCTTTTGATACCGCAGCTTGGAAACACTTTCTGTAGAACCTGCAAGTAGATATTTGTATAGCTCTAGCTATATCGTTGGAAACGGGAATATATTCATATAAACTCTAGACAGAAGCACCCTCAGAAACTACTTGTGATATCTGTATTCACGTCACAGAGTTGAACATTCCCTTTCATAGAGCAGGTTTGAAACACTCTTTCTGTAGTATCTGGATGTGGACACTTGGAGCGCTTTGATTCTTACGGTGAAAAAGGAAGTATCTTCCCATAAAAACTAGACAGAAGCATTCTCACAAACTGGTTTGTGATGTAGGTCCTCAACTAACAGAGTACAACCTGTCTTTTGATACAGCAGTATTGAAACACTCTTTCTGTAGAATCTGCAATTGGATCTTTGGATAGCTCTAACGATTTCGTTGGATACGGGAATACCTTCATATAAAATCTAGACAGAGGCACTCTCAGAAACTGCTTTGTGTTATCTGCATTCAAGTCACAGAGTTGAACATTCCCTTTCTTCGGGCAGGTTTGAAACACTCTTTTTGTAGTATCTGGAAGTGGACATTTGGAGCGCTTTGACGCCTTTTGTGAAAAAGGAAATGTCTTCACATAAAAACTAGACAGAAGCATTCTAAGAAACTTCTTTGGGATATATGTACACAACTAACGGAGTTGAATCATTCTATTTATAGATCAGTTTTCAAACGCTCTTTTTATGGAATCTGTAAGTGGATATTCGGATAACTCTGAGGATTTCGTTGGAGACGGGATTACATATAAAAAGTAGACAGCAGCATTCTCAGAAGCTTCTTTGTGATGTTTGCTTTTAAGTCACAGAGTTGAACATTCGCATTCATAGAGCAGGTTTGAAACACTCTTTCTGTAGTATCTGGAAGTGGACGTTTCGAGCGCTTTCAGGCTCATGGTGAAAAAGGAAATATCTTCCCATAAAAACTAGACAGAAGGATTCTCAGAAACTTATTTGTGATGTGTGTCCTCAACTAACAGAGTTGAACCTTTCTTTTGATACAGCAGTTTGGAAACACTCTTTTTGTAGAATCTGCAAGTGGATATTTGGATAACTTTGAAGATTTCTTTGGAAACGGGAATATCTTCATGTAAAATCGAGACAGAAGCATTCTCAGAAACTGCTTTGTGATGTCTGCATTCACGTCACAGGGTTGAACATTCGTTTCATAGAGCAGTTTTGAAACACTCTTTCTGTAGTATCTGGATGTGGACACTTGGACCGCTTTGACACTTACGGTGAAAAAGGAAATATCTTCCCATAAAAACTAGACAGAAGCATTCTCACAAACTGGTTTGTGATGTATGTCCTCAACTAAGAGAGTTGAACCTTTCTATTTACAGAGCAGTTTTGAAAGACTCTATTGGAGAATCTGCAAGTGGATATTTGGAAAGCTTTAAGGATTTCTTTGGAAACCGGAATATCTTCAGGTAAAATCTAGACAGAGGCTTTCTCAGAAACTTCTTTGTGATGTGTGTCCTAAAGTAACAGAGTACAACCTGTCTTTTGATACAGCAGCTTGGAAACACTCTTTCTGTAGAATCTGCAAGTGGATATTTGGATAGCTGTAGCCATTTCGTTGGAAACGGGAATATCTTCATATAAACTCTAGACAGAAGCACTCTCAGAAACTACTTTGTGATATCTGTATTCAAGTCACAGAGTTGAATATTCCCTTTCTTAGAGCAGGTTTGAAGCCGTCTCTTCGTGGAATCTGCGGGAGGATATTTGGATAACCTTGAGGATTTCGTTGGAAACGGGATTACATATAGAAAGTAGACAGCAGCATTCTAAGAAGCTGCTTTGTGCTGTTTCCTTTTAAGTCACAGTGTTGAACATTCCCTTACATAGAGCAGGTTTGAAACACTCTTTCGGTAGTATCTGGAAGAGGACATTTCGAGCGCTTTCAGGCCTATGGTGAAAAAGGAAATATCTTCCCATAAAAACTAGACAGAAGCATTCGCAGAAACTTGTTTGTGATGTGTGTCCTCAACTCACAGGGTTGAACATTTCGTTTGACACAGCAGTTTGGAAACACGCTTTTTGTAGAATCTGCAAGTAGATATTTGGATAGCTTTGTGGATTTCTTTGGAAATGGGAGTATCTCCATATAAAACATAGACAGAAACATTCTCACAAACTGCTTCGTGATATCTGCATTCACGTCACAGAGTTGAACATTCCCTTTCATAGAGCAGGTTTGAAACACTCTTTCTGTAGTATCTGGATGTGGACACTTGGAGCGCTTTGACGCTTACGGTGAAAAAGGAAATATCTTCCCATAAAAACTAGATAGAAGCATTCTCACAAACTGGTTTGTGATGTAGGTCCTCAACTAACAGAGTACAACCTGTCTTTTGATACAGCAGTATTGAAACACTCTTTCTGTAGAATCTGCAATTGGATCTTTGGATAGCTCTAACGATTTCGTTGGATAAGGGAATACCTTCATATAAAATCTAGACAGAGGCACTGTCGGAAACTGCTTTGTGATATCTGCATTCAACTCACAGAGTTGAACATTCCCTTTCTTAGAGCAGGTTTGAAACACTCTTTTTGTAGTATCTGGAAGTGGACATTTGGAGCGCTTTGACGCCTTTGGTGATAAAGGAAATGTCTTCACATAAAAACTAGACAAAAGCATTCTATGAAACTTCTTTGGGATATATGTACTCAACTAACGGAGTTGAATCATTCTATTTATAGATCAGTTTTCAAAAGCTCTTTTTATGCAATCTACAAGTGGATATTCGGATAGCTCTGAGGATTTCGTTGGAGACGGGATTACATATAAAAAGTAGACAGCAGCATTCTCAAAAGCTTCTTTGTGATGTTTGCTTTTAAGTCACAGAGTTGAATATTCCCTTCCGTAGAGCAGGCTTGAAACACTCTTTCTGTAGTATCTGGAAGTGGACATTTCGAGCGCTTTCAGGCCTGTGTTGAAAAAGGAAACATCTTCCCAAAAAAACTAGACAGAAGCATTCTCAGAAACTTCTTTGTGATGTGTGTCCTCAACTAACAGAGTTCAACCTCTCTTATGATACAGCAGTTTGGAAACACTCTTTTGGTAGAATATGCAAGGGGATATTTGGATAGCTCTAAGTATTTCGTTGGAAACGGGGATATCTTCATATAAAATCTAGACAGAAGCACTCTCAGGAACTACTTCGTGATATCTGCATTCAAGTCACAGAGTTGAATATTCCCTTTCTCAGAGCAGGTTTGAAACAGTCTTTTCTTGGAATCTGCAGGAGGATATTTGGATAGCTTTGAGGATTTCGTTGGAAACGGGATTACATATACAAAGTAGACAGCAGCATTCTCAGAGGCTTCTTTGTGATGTTTGCTTTTAAGTCACAGAGTTGAACATTCGCATTCATAGAGCAGGTTTGAAACACTCTTTCTGTAGTATCTGGAAGTGGACGTTTCGTGCGCTTCGACGCCATTGCTGAAAAAGGATATGTCTTCACATAAAAACTAGACAGAAGCATTCTCAGAAACTTCTTTGGGATATATGTACTCAACTAACGGAGTTGAATCATTCTATTTATAGATCAGTTTTCAAAAGCTCTTTTTATGGAATCTGCAAGTGGATATTCGGATAGCTCTGAGGATTTCGTTGGAGACTGGATTACATATATAAAGTAGACAGCAGCATTCTCAGAAGCTTCTTTGTGATGTTTGCTTTTAAGTCACAGAGTTGAATATTCCCTTCCATAGAGCAGGTCTGAAACACTCTTTCTGTAGTATCTGGATGTGGACACTTGGAGCGCTTTGACGCTTACGGTGAAAAAGGAAATATCTTCCCATAAAAACTAGACAGAAGCATTCTCAGAAACTTATTTGTGATGTGTGTCCTCAACTAACAGAGTTGAACCTTTCTTTTGATACAGCAGTTTGGAAACACTCTTTTTGTAGAATCTGCAAGTGGATATTTGGATAACTTTGAAGATTTCGTTGGAAACGGGAATATCTTCATGTAAACTCGAGACAGAAGCATTCTCAGAAACTGCTTTGTGATGTCTGCATTCACGTCACGGGATTGAACATTCGCTTTCATAGAGCAGGTTTGAAACACTCTTCTTTTTTTTTTTTTATTATACTCTAAGCTTTAGGGTACATGTGCACATTGTGCAGGTTAGTTACATATGTATACATCTGCCATGCTGGTGCGCTGCACCCACTAATGTGTCATCTAGCATTAGGCATATCTCCCAATGCTATCCCTCCTCCATCCCCCGACCCCACCACATTCCCCAGAGTGTGACATTCCCCTTCCTGTGTCCATGTGATCTCATTGTTCAATTCCCACCTATAAGTGAGAATATGCGGTGTTTCGTTTTTTGTTCTTGCGATAGTTTACTGAGAATGATATTTTCCAATTTCATCCATGTCCCTACAAATGATATGAACACATCATTTTTTATGGCTGCATAGTATTCCATGGTGTATATGGGCCACATTTCCTTAATCCAGTCTATCATTGTTGGACATTTGGGCTGGTTCCAAGTCTTTGCTATTGTGAATAGTGCCGCAATAAACATACGTGTGCATGTGTCTTTATAGCACCATGATTTATAGTCCTTTGGGTATATACCCAGTAATGGGATGGCTGGGTCAAATGGTATTTCTAGTTCTAGATCCCTGAGGAATCGCCACACTGACTTCCACAATGGTTGAACTACTTTACAATCCCAGAAACACTCTTTCTGTAGTATCTTGATGTGGACACTTGGAGCGCTTTGATGCTTACGGTGAAAAAGGAAGTATCTTCCCATAAAAACTACACAGAAGCATTCTCACAAAGTGGTTTGTGATGTATGTCCTCAACTAACAGAGTTGAAACTTTCTATTTACAGAGCAGTTTTGAAAGACTCTATTGGAGAATCTGCAAGTGGATATTTGGAAAGCTTTAAGGATTTCATTGGAAACCGGAATATCTTCAGGTAAAATCCAGACAGAGGCATTCTCAGGAAGTTCTTTGTGATGTGTGTCCTCAAGTAACAGAGTAAAACCTGTCTTTTGATACAGCAGTTTGGAAACACTCTTTCTGTAGAATCTGCAAGTGGATATTTGGATAGCTCTAGCTATATCGTTGGAAACGGGAATATCTTCATATAAACTCTAGACAGAAGCACTCTCAGAAACTTTGTGATATCTGTATTCAAGTCACAGAGTTGAATATTCCCTTTCTCACAGCAGGTTTGAAACCGTCTTTTCGTGGAATCTGCAGGAGGATATTTGGATAACTTTGAGGATTTCGTTGGAAACGGGATTACATATACAAAGTAGACAGCAGCATTCTACGAAGCTGCTTTGTGATGTTTGCTTTTAAGTCACAGAGTTGAACATTCCCTTACAGAGAGCAGGTTTGAAACACTCTTTATGTAGTATCTGGAAGAGGACATTTCGAGCGCTTTCAGGCCTATGGTGAAAAAGGAAATATCTTCCCATAAAAACTAGACAGAAGCATTCGCAGAAACTTGTTTGTGATATGTGTCCCAAACTCACAGACTTGAACATTTCGTTTGACAGAGCAGTTTGGAAACACGCTTTTTGTAGAATCTGCAAGTGGATATTTGGATAGCTTTGTGGATTTCGTTGGAAATGGGAGTATCTTCATATAAAACATAGACAGAAACATTCTCAGAAACTGCTTTGTGATATCTCCATTCACGTCACAGAGTTGAACATTCCCTTTCATAGAGCAGGTTTGAAAGACTCTTTCTGTAGTATCTGGATGTGGACACTTGGAGCGCTTTGACGCTTACGGTGAAAAAGGAAATATCTTCCCATAAAAACTAGACAGAAGCATTCTCACAAACTGGTTTGTGATGTAGGTCCTCAACTAACAGAGTACAACCTGTCTTTTGATACAGCAGTATTGAAACACTCTTTCTGTAGAATCTGCAATTGGATATTTGGATAGCTCTAACGATTTCGTTGGAAACGGGAATACTTTAATATAAAATCTAGACAGACGCACTCTCAGAAACTGCTTTGTGATATGTCAATTCAAGTCACAGAGTTGAACATTCCCTTTCTTAGAGCAGGTTTGAAACACTCTTTTTGTAGTATCTGGAAGTGGACATTTGGAGCGCTTTTACGCCTTTGGTGATAAAGGAAATGTCTTCACATAAAAACTAGACAGAAGCATTCTAAGAAACTTCTTTGGGATATATGTACTCAACTAACCGAGTTGAACCTTGCTCTTTATAGATCAGCTTTTTAATGCTCTTTTTGTGGAATCTGCAAGTGGATATTCGGATAGCTCTGAGGATTTCGTTGGAGACGGTATTACATATAAAAAGTACACAGCAGCATTCTCAGAAGCTTCTTTGTGATGTTTGCTTTTAAGTCACAGAGTTGAATATTCCCTTCCATAGAGCAGGCTTGAAACACTCTTTCTGTAGTATCTGGAAGTGGACATTTCGAGCGCTTTCAGGCCTGTGTTGAAAAAGGAAACATCTTCCCAAAAAAACTAGACAGAAGCATTCTCAGAAACTTCTTTGTGATGTGTGTCCTCAACTAACAGAGTTCAACCTCTCTTATGATACAGCAGTTTGGAAACACGCTTTTGGTAGAATATGCAATTGGATATTTGGATAGCTCTAAGTATTTCGTTGGAAACGGGGATATCTTCATACAAAATCTAGACAGAAGCACTCTCAGAAACTACTTTGTGATATCTGCATTCAAGTCACAGAGTTGAACATTCCCATTCATAGAGCAGGTTTGAAACACTCTTTCTGTAGTATCTGAAAGTGGACATTTCGAGCGCTTTCAGGGCTACGTTGAAAAAGGAAACATCTTCCCATAAAAACTAGACAGTAGCATTCTCAGAAACTTATTTGTGATGTGTGTCCTCAACTAACAGTGTTGAACCTTTCTTTTGATTCAGCAGTTTGGAAACACTCTTTTTGTAGAATCTGCAAGTGGATATTTGGAAAACTTTGAAGATTTCATTGGATACGGGAATATCTTCATGTAAAATCGAGAAAGAAGCACTCTCAGAAACTGCTTTGTGATGTCTGCATTCACGTCACGGGATTGAACATTCGCTTTCATAGAGCAGGTTTGAAACACTCTTTCTGTAGTATCTGGATGTGGACACTTGGAGCGCTTTGACGCTTACGGTGAAAAAGGAAATATCTTCCCATAAAAACCAGACAGAAGCATTCTCACAAACTGGTTTGTGATGTATGTCCTCAACTAAGAGGGTTGTACCTTTCTATTTACAGAGCAGTTTTGAAAGACTCTATTGGAGAATCTGCAAGTGTATATTTGGAAAGCTTTAAGGATTTCATTGGAAACCGGAATATCTTCAGGTAAAATCTAGACAGAGGCATTCTCAGAAACTTCTATGTGATGTGTGTCCTCAACTAACAGAGTTCAGCCTTTGTTATGATACAGCAGTTTGGAAACACTCTTTTTGTACTATCAGGAAGTGGACTTTTGGAGCGCTTTGACACCTTTAGTGATAAAGAAATGTCTTCCCATAAAAACACGATGGAAGCATTCTAAGAAAATTCTTTGGTATATATGTACTCAACTAACAGAGTTGAACCTTTCTATTTATAGATCAGTCTTGAAAAGCTCTTTTCGTGGAATCTGCAAGTGAATCTTAGGATAGCTCTGAGGATTTCGTTGGAAAGGGTATTACATATAAAAGTAGACAGCAGCATTCTAAGAATCTTCTTTGTGATGTTTGCTTTTAAGTCACAGAGTTCAACATTCCCTTCCATAGAGCCGGTTTGAAACCCTTTTTTTGTAGTATCTGGAAGTGGACATTTCGAGCACTTTCAGGCCTATGTTGAAAAAGGAAATATCTTCCCATAAAAGCAATACAGAAGCATTCCCAGAAACTTCGTTATGATGTGTGTCCTCAGCTAACAGAGTTGAACCTTTCTAATTACAGAGCAGATTTGAAAGACGCTTTTTGGAGAATCTGCAAGTGGATATTTGGAGAGCTTTAAGGATTTCTTTGGAAACCGGAATATCTTCAGGTAAAATCTAGACGGTGGCATTCTCAGAAACTTCTTTGTGATGTGTGTCCTCAACTAACAGAGTTCAACTTTCTTATGATACAGCAGTTTGGAAACACTCTTTATGTAGAATTTGCAAGTAGATATTTGGATAGCTCTATTTTGTTGGAAACGGGCATAACTTCATATAAAATCTAGACAGAAGCACTCTCAGAAACTACTTTGTGATATCTGCATTCAACTCACAGAGTTCAATATTCCCTTTCTTAGACCAGGTTTGAAACCGTCTTTTCGTGGAATCTGCAGGAGGATATTTGGATAGGTTTGAGGATTTCGGTGGAAACACGATTTCATATACAAAGTAGACAGCAGCATTCTCAGAAGCTTCTTTGTGATGTTTGCTTTTAAGTCACAAAGTTGAAAATTCCCTTTCATAGAGGAGGTTTCAAACACTCTTTCTGTAGTATCTGGAAGTGGACATTTCGAGCACTTTCAGGCCTATGGTGAAAAAGGAAATATCTTCCCATAAAAACTAGACAGAAGCATTCGCAGAAACTTGTTTGTAATGTGTGTCCTCAACTCACAGAGTTGAACATTTCGTTCGAGAGATCAGTTTGGAAACACTCTTTTTGTAGAATCTGAAAGTGGATATTTGGATAGCTTTGTGGATTTCGATGGAAACGGGAGTATCTTCATACAAAACCTAAGCAGAAATATTCTAAGAAACTGCTTTGTGATATCTGCATTCACGTCACAGAGTTGAACATTCCCTTTGATAGAGCAGGTTTGAAACACTCTTTCTGTAGTGTCTGGATGTGGACACTTTGAGCGCTTTGACGCTTACGGTGAAAAAGGAAATATCTTCCCATAAAAACTAGAGAGAAGCATTCGCTGAAACTTCTTTGTGATGTGTGTCCTCAACTAACAGAGTTGAACCTTTCTATTTACAGAACAGTTTTCAAAGACTCTTTTTGGAGAATCTGCAAGTGGATATTGGGATAGCTTTAAGGATTTCATTGGAAACCGGAATATCTTCAGGTAAAATCTAGCCAGAGGCATTCTCAGAAACTTCTTCGTGATGTGTGTCCTCAACTAACAGAGTACAACCTGTCTTTTGATACAGCAGTTTGGAAACAATCTTTTTGTAGAATCTGCAAGAGGATATTTGGATAGCTCTAGCGATTTCGATGGATACGGGAATACCTTCATATGAAATCTAGACAGAGGCACTCTCAGAAACTGCTTTGTGATATCTGCATTCAAGTCACAGAGTTGAACATTCCCTTTCTTAGAGCAGGTTTGAAACTCTCTTTTTGTAGTATCTGGAAGTGGACACTTGGAGCGCTTTGACGCCTTTGGTGAAAAAGGAAATGTCTTCCCATAAAAACTAGACAGAAGCATTCTAAGAAACTTCTTTGGGATATATGTACTCAACTAACAGAGTTGAACCTTTCTATTTAGAGATCAGTTTTAAAAAGCTCTTTTTGTGGAATCCGCAAGTGGATATTAGAATAGCTCTGAGGATTTCGTTGGAGACGGGATTACGTATAAAAAGTAGACAGCAGCATTCTCAAAAGCTTCTTTGTGATCTTTGCTTTTAAATCGCAGAGTTCAATATTCCCTTCCGTAGAGAAGGTTTGAAACACTCTTTCTGTAGTATCTGGAAGTGGACATTTCGAGCGATTTCAGGCCTGTGTTGAAAAAGGAAATATCTTCCAATAAAAACTAGACGGAAGCATTCTCAAAAATTTCTTTGTGATGTGCGTCCTCAACTAACAGAGTTCATCCTTTCTTATGATACAGCAGTTTATAAACACTCTTTTTGTAGAATCTGCAAGTGGATATTTGCATAGCTCTAACCATTTCATAGGAAACGGGAATACCTTCATATAAAATCTAGACAGAGGCACCCTCAGAAACTGCTTTGTGATATCTGCATTCAAGTCACAGAGTTGAACATTCCCTTTCTTAGAGCAGGTTTGAGACAATCTATTTGTAGTATCTGGTAGTGGACATTTGGAGCGCTTTGACGCCTTTGGTGAAAAAGGAAATATCTTCCATAAAAACTAGACAGAAGCATTCCAAGAATCTTCCTTGCGATATATGTACTCAACTACCAGAGTTGAACCTTTCTATTGATAGATCAGTTTTGAAAAGCTCTTTTTGTGGAATCTGCAATTGGATATAAGGATAGTTCTGAGGATTTCGTTGCACACGGGATTGCATATAAAAAGTAGACAGCAGCATTCCCAGAAGCTTCTTTGTGATGTTTGCTTTTAAGTCACAGAGTTGAATATTCCCTTCCATAGAGCAGGTTTGAAACCCTCTTTCTCTACTATCTGGAAGTGGACATTTCGAGCGCTTTCAGGCCTATGGTAACAAGGAAATATCGTCCCATAAAAACTAGACAGAAGCATTCGCAGAAACTTGTTTGTGATGTGTGTCCTCATCTCACAGAGGTGACCATTTCGTTTGACAGAGCAGTTTGGAAACACGCTTTTTGCAGAATACGCAAGTGGATATTTGGATAGCTGTAACGATTTCGTTGGATACGGGAATAACTTCATATAAATTCTAGACAGAGGCACTCTCAGAAACTGCTTTTTGATATCTGCATTCAGTCACGGAGTTGAACATTCTCTTTCTTAGAGCAGGTTG
>NC_000018.10:20751469-20813083 GCF_000001405.40 Homo sapiens | reverse complement strand
TCTATCTAGTTTTTATGGGAAGATATTTCCTTTTTCACCGTAAGCGTCAAAGCGCTCCAAGTGTCCACATCCAGATACTACAGAAAGAGTGTTTCAACCCTGCTCTATGAAAGGGAATGTTCAACTCTGTGACTTAAAGGCTAACATCACAGAGAAGCTTCTGAGAATGCTACTGTCTACTTTGTATATGGAATCCCCTTTCCAACGAAATCCTGAAAGCTATCAAAATATCCACCTGCAGATTCCAAGAAAAGACGGTTTCAAACCTGCTCTCAGAAAGGGAATATTCAACTGTGACTTGAATGCAGTTATCACAAAGTAGTTTCTGAGAGTGCTTCTGTCTAGATTTTATATGAAGATATTCCCGTTTCCAACGAAATACTTCGAGCTATCCAAATATCCCCTTGCATATACTACAAAAAGAGTGTTTCCAAACTTCTGTATCATAAGAGAGGTTGAACTCTGTTAGTTGAGGACACACATCACAAAGAAGTTTCTGGGAATGTTTCTGTCTAGTTTTGAAGAGAAGATATTTCCTTTTTCAGCAAAGTCGTCAAAGCGCTCCAAATGTCCACTTCCAGATACTACAAAAACAGTGTTTCAAACCTGCTCTAATAAAGGGAATGTTCAACTCTGTGACTTGAATGCACATATCACAGAGCAGTTTCTGAGAGTGCCTGTGTCTAGATTTTATACTAAAGTATCCTCGTTTCCAACGAAATCGTTAGAGCTATCCAAATATCCACTTGCAGATTCTACAGAAAGTGTGTTTCAATACTGCTGTATCAAAAGACAGGTTGTACTCTGTTAGCTGAGGACATACATTCCAAACCAGTTTGTGAGAATGCTTCTGTCAAGTTTGTATGGGCAGATATTTCCTTGTTCACCATAGGCCTGAAAGCGTTCGAAATGTCCTCTTCCAGATACTACAGAATGAGTGTTTGAATCCTGCTCTCTGAAAGGGAATGTTCACCTCTGTGACTTAAAAGCAAACATCACGAAGCAGCTTCTGAGAATGCTGCTGTCTACTTTGTATATGTAATCCCGTTTCCGACGAAATCCCCAAAGCTATCCAAATATCCTCCTGCAGATTCCACGAAAAGACGGTTTCAAACCTGCTCTAAGAAAGGGAATATTCAACTCTGTGACTTGAATACAGATATCAAAAAGTAGTTTCTGAGAGTGCTTCTGTCTAGAGTTTATATGAAGCTATTCCCGTTTCCAACGAAATAGCTTGAGCTATCCAAATATCCACTTGTAGATTCTACAGAAAGAGTGTTTCCAAACTGCTGTATCAAAAGACAGGTTGTACTCTGTTACTTGAGGACACACATCACAAAGAAGTTTCTGAGAATGCCCTTGTCGAGATTTTACCTGAAGATATTCCGGTTTCCAATGAAATCCTTAAAGCTTTCCAAATATCCACTTGCAGATTCTCCAATAGAGTCTTTCAAAACAGCTCTGTAAATAGAAAGGTTCAACTCTGTTAGCTGAGGACACACATCACAAACCAGTTTGTGAGAATGCTTCTGTCTAGTTTTTATGGGAAGATATTTCCTTTTTCATCGTAAGCGTCAAAGCGCTCCAAGTGTGCACATCCAGATACTACAGAAAGAGTCTTTCAAACCTGCTCTATGAAAGCGAATGTTCAACTCTGTGACGTGAATGCAGACATCACAAAGCAGTTTACTGAGAATGCTTCTTTCTCGATTTTACATGAAGATATTCCTGCTTCCAACGAAATCTTCAAAGTTATCCAAATATCCCCTTGCAGATTCTACAAAATGTGTGTTTCCAAACTGCTGTATCAAAAGACGGGTTGTACTCTGTTAGCTGAGGACATACATCCCAAAACAGTTTGTGAGAATGCTTCTGTCAATTTTCTATGGGAAGATATTTCCTTGTTCACCATAGGCCTGAAAGCACTCGAAATGTCCACTTCCAGATGCTACAGATAGAGTGTTTCAAACCTGCTCTATGAAAGGGAATGTTCAACTCTGTGACTTAAAGGCAAACATCACAGAGAAGATTCTGAGAATGCTACTGTCTACTTTGTATATGTAATCCCCTTTCCAAGGAATTCCTGAAAGCTTTCCAAATATCCGCCTGCAGATTCCAAGAAAAGACGGTTTCAAACCGGCTCTAAGAAAGGGAATGTTCGACTCTGTGACTTGAATGCAGATATCACAAAGTAGTTTCTGAGAGTGCTTCTGTCTAGATTTTATATGAAGATATTCCCGTTTCCAACGAAATACTTCGAGCTATCCAAATATCCCCTTGCATATACTACAAAAAGAGTGTTTCCAAACTTCTGTATCATAAGAGAGGTTGAACTCTGTTAGTTGAGGACACACATCACAAAGAAGTTTCTGGGAATGCTTCTGTCTAGTTTTGAAGAGAAGATATTTCCTTTTTCAGCAAAGGCGTCAAAGCGCTCCAAATGTCCACTTCCAGATACTACAAAAACAGTGTTTCAAACCTGCTCTAATAAAGGGAATGTTCAACTCTGTGACTTGAATGCACATATCACAGAGCAGTTTCTGAGAGTGCCTGTGTCTAGATTTTATACTAAAGTATTCTCGTTTCCAACGAAATCGTTAGAGCTATCCAAATATCCACTTGCAGATTCTACAGAAAGTGTGTTGCAATACTGCTGTATCAAAAGACAGGTTGTACTCTGTTAGCTGAGGACATACATCCCAAACCAGTTTGTGAGAATGCTTCTGTCAAGTTTGTATGGGAAGATATTTCCTTGTTCACCATAGGCCTGAAAGCGCTCGAAATGTCCTCTTCCAGATACTACAGAAAGAGTGTTTGAATCCTGCTCTCTGAAAGGGAATGTTCAACTCTGTGACTTAAAAGCAAACATCACAAAGCAGCTTCTGAGAATGCTGCTGTCTACTTTGTATATGTAATCCCGTTTCCAACGAAATCCTCAAAGCTATCCAAATATCCTCCTACAGATTCCACGAAAAGACGGTTTCAAACCTGCTCTAAGAAAGGGAATATTCAACTCTGTGACTTGAATGCAGATATCACAAAGTAGTTTCTCAGAGTGCTTCTGTCTAGAGTTTATATGAACATATTCCCCTTTCCAACGAAATAGCTTGAGCTATCCAACTATCCACTTGCAGATTCTACATAAAGAGTGTTTCCAAACTGCTGTATCAAAAGACAGGTTGTACTCTGTTACTTGAGGACACACAACACAAACAAGTTTCTGAGAATGCCCTTGTCGAGATTTTACCTGAAGATATTCCGGTTTCCAATGAAATCCTTAAAGCTTTCCAAATATCCACTTGCAGATTCTCCAATAGAGTCTTTCAAAACAGCTCTGTAAATAGAAAGGTTCAACTCTGTTAGCTGAGGACACACATCACAAACCAGTTTGTGAGAATGCTTCTGTCTAATTTTTATGGGAAGATATTTCCTTTTGCACCGTAAGCGTCAAAGCGCTCCAAGTGTCCACATCCAGATACTGCAGAAAGAGTGTTTCAAACCTGCTCTATGAAAGCGAATGTTGAACTCTGTGACGTGAATGCAGAGATCACAAAGCAGTTTCTGAGAATGCTTCTGTCTCGATTTTACATGAAGATATTCCCGTTTCCAACGAAATCTTCAAAGTTATCCAAATATCCACTTGCAGATTCTACAAAAAGAGTGTTTCCAAACTGCTGTATCAAAAGAAAGGTTCAACTCCGTTAGTTGAGGACATACATCACAAATAAGTTTCTGAGAATGATTCTGTCTAGTTTTTATGGGAAGATATTTCCTTTTTCACCATAGGCCTGAAAGCGCTCCAAATGTCCACTTCCAGATGCTACAGATAGAGTGTTTCAAACCTCCTCTATGAAGGGAATGTTCAACTCTGTGACTTAAAGTCAAACATCACAGAGAAGCTTCTGAGAATGCTACTGTCTACTGTGTATATGTAATCCCGTTTCCAAAGAAATCCTGAAAGCTATCCAAATATCCACCTGCAGATTCCAAGAAAAGACGGTTTCAACCCTGCTCTAAGAAAGGGAATATTCAACTCTGTGACTTGAATGCAGATATCACAAAGTAGTTTCTGAGAGTGCTTCTGTCTAGATTTTATATGAAGATATTCCCGTTTCCAAAGAAATACTTCGAGCTATCCAAATATCCCCTTGCATATACTACAAAAAGAGTGTTTCCAAACTTCTGTATCATAAGAGAGGTTGAACTCTGTTAGTTGAGGACACACATCACAAAGAAGTTTCTGGGAATGCTTCTGTCTAGTTTTGAAGAGAAGATATTTCCTTTTTCAGCAAAGGCGTCAAAGCGCTCCAAATGTCCACTTCCAGATACTACAAAAACAGTGTTTCAAACCTGCTCTAATAAAGGGAATGTTCAACTCTGTGACTTGAATGCATATATCACAGAGCAGTTTCTGAGAGTGCCTGTGTCTAGATTTTGTACTAAAGTATTCCCGTTTCCAAAGAAATCGTTAGAGCTATCCAAATATCCACTTGCAGATTCTACAGAAAGTGTGTTTCAATACTGCTGTATCAAAAGACAGGTTGTACTCTGTTAGCTGAGGACATACATCCCAAACCAGTTTGTGAGAATGCTTCTGTCAAGTTTGTATGGGAAGATATTTCCTTGTTCACCATAGGCCTGAAAGCGCTCCAAATGTCCTCTTCCAGATACTACAGAAAGAGTGTTTGAATCCTGCTCTCTGAAAGGGAATGTTCAACTCTGTGACTTAAAAGCAAACATCACAAAGCAGCTTCTGAGAATGCTGCTGTCTGCTTTGTATATGTAATCCCGTTTCCGACGAAATCCCCAAAGCTATCCAAATATCCTCCTGCAGATTCCACGAAAAGACGGTTTCAAACCTGCTCTAAGAAAGGGAATATTCAGCTCTGTGACTTGAATACAGATATCACAAAGTAGTTTCTGAGAGTGCTTCTGTCTAGAGTTTATATGAAGCTATTCCCGTTTCCAACGAAATAGCTTGAGCTATCCAAATATCCACTTGTAGATTCTACAGAAAGAGTGTTTCCAAACTGCTGTATCAAAAGACAGGTTGTACTCTGTTACTTGAGGACACACATCACAAAGAAGTTTCTGAGAATGCCCTTGTCGAGTATTTTACCTGAAGATATTCCGGTTTCCAATGAAATCCTTAAAGCTTTCCAATTATCCACTTGCAGATTCTCCAATAGAGTCTTTCAAAACAGCTCTGTAAATAGAAAGGTTCAACTCTGTTAGCTGAGAACATACATCACAAACCAGTTTGTGAGAATGCTTCTGTCTAGTTTTTATGGGAAGATATTTCCTTTTTCACCGTAAGCGTCAAAGTGCTCCAAGTGTCCACATCCAGATACTACAGAAAGAGTCTTTCAAACCTGCTCTATGAAAGCGAATGTTCAACTCTGTGACGTGAATGCAGACATCACAAAGCAGTTTCTGAGAATGCTTCTGTCCCGATTTTACATGAAGATATTCCCGTTTCCAACGAAATCTTCAAAGTTATCCAAATATCCACTTGCAGATTCTACAAAAAGAGTGTTTCCAAACTGCTGTATCAAAAGAAAGGTTCAACTCTGTTAGTTGAGGACACACATCACAAATAAGTTTCTGAGAATGCTTCTGTCTAGTTTTTATGGGAAGATATTTCCTTTTTCACCATAGGCCTGAAAGCCCTCGAAATGTCCACTTCCAGATACTACAGAAAGAGTGTTTCAAACCTGCTCTATGAAAGGGAATGCTCAACTCTGTGACTTAAAAGCAAACATCACAGTGAAGCTTCTGAGAATGCTACTGTCTACTTTGTATATGTAATCCCGTTTCCAAAGATGTCCTGAAAGCTATCCAAATATCCACCTGCAGATTCCAAGAAAAGACGGTTTCAACCCTGCTCTAAGAAAGGGAATATTCAACTCTGTGACTTGAATGCAGATATCACAAAGTACTTTCTGAGAGTGCTTCAGTCTAGATTTTATATGAAGATATTCCCGTTTCCAACGAAATACTTCGAGCTATCCAAATATCCCCTTGCATATACTACAAAAAGAGTGTTTCCAAACTTCTGTATCATAAAAGAGGTTGAACTCTGTTAGTTGAGGACACACATCACAAAGAAGTTTCTGGGAATGCTTCTGTCTAGTTTTGAAGAGAAGATATTTCCTTTTTCAGCAAAGGCGTCAAAGCGCTCCAAATGTCCACTTCCAGATACTACAAAAACAGTGTTTCAAACCTGCTCTAATAAAGGGAATGTTCAACTCTGTGACTTGAATGGATATATCACAGAGCAGTTTCTGAGAGTGCCTGTGTCTAGATTTTGTACTAAAGTATTCCCGTTTCCAAAGAAATCGTTAGAGCTATCCAAATATCCACTTGCAGATTCTACAGAAAGTGTGTTTCAATACTGCTGTATCAAAAGACAGGTTGTACTCTGTTAGCTGAGGACATACATCCCAAACCAGTTTGTGAGAATGCTTCTGTCAAGTTTGTATGGGAAGATATTTCCTAGTTCACCATAGGCCTGAAAGCGCTCGAAATGTCCTCTTCCAGATACTACAGAAAGAGTGTTTGAAACCTGCTCTCTGAAAGGGAATGTTCAACTCTGTGACTTAAAAGCAAACATCACAAAGCAGCTTCTGAGAATGCTGCTGTCCACTTTGTATATGTAATCCTGTTTCCAACGAAATCCTCAAAGCTATCCAATTATCGTCCTGCAGATTCCACGAAAAGATGGTTTCAAACCTGCTCTAAGAAAGGGAATATTCAACTCTGTGACTTGAATACAGATATCACAAAGTAGTTTCTGAGAGTGCTTCTGTCTAGAGTTTATATGAAGCTATTCCCGTTTCCAACGAAATAGCTTGAGCTATCCAACTATCCACTTGCAGATTCTACAGAAAGAGTGTTTCCAAACTGCTGTATCGAAAGACAGGTTGTACTCTGTTACTTGAGGACACACATCACAAAGTAGTTTCTGAGAAGGCCCTTGTCGAGATTTTACCTGAAGATATTCCGGTTTCCAATGAAATCCTTAAAGCTTTCCAAATATCCACTTGCAGATTCTCCAATAGAGTCTTTCAAAACAGCTCTGTAAATAGAAAGGTTCAACTCTGTTAGCTGAGGACATACATCACAAACCAGTTTGTGAGAATGCTTCTGTCTAGTTTTTATGGGAAGATATTTCCTTTTGCACCGTAAGCGTCAAAGCGCTCCAAGTGTCCACATCCAGATACTGCAGAAAGAGTGTTTCAAACCTGCTCTATGAAAGCGAATGTTCAACTCTGTGACGTGAATGCAGACATCACAAAGCTGTTTCTGAGAATGCTTCTGTCTCGATTTTACATGAAGATATTCCCGTTTCCAACGAAATCTTCAAAGTTATCCAAATATCCACTTGCAGATTCTACAAAAAGAGTGTTTCCAAACTGCTGTATCAAAAGAAAGGTTCAACTCTGTTAGTTGAGGTCATACATCACAAATAAGTTTCTGAGAATGCTTCTGTCTAGTTTTTATGGGAAGATATTTCCTTTTTCACCATAGGCCTGAAAGCGCTCGAAATGTCCACTTCCAGATGCTACAGATAGGGTGTTTCAAACCTGCTCTATGAAAGGGAATGTTCAACTCTGTGACTTAAAGGCAAACATCACAGAGAAGCTTCTGAGACTGCTACTGTCTACTTTGTATATGGAATCCCGTTTCCAACGAAATCCTGAAAGCTATCCAAATATCCACCTGCAGATTCCAAGAAAAGACGGTTTCAAACCTGCTCTCAGAAAGGGAATATTCAACTCTGACTTGAATGCAGTTATCACAAAGTAGTTTCGGAGAGTGCTTCTGTCTAGATTTTATATAAAGATATTCCCGTTTCCAACGAAATACTTCGAGCTATCCAAATATCCCCTTGCATATACTACAAAAAGAGTGTTTCCAAACTTCTGTATCATAAGAGAGGTTGAACTCTGTTAGTTGAGGGCACACATCACAAAGAAGTTTCTGGGAATGCTTCTGTCTAGTTTTGAAGAGAAGATATTTCCTTTTTCAGCAAAGGCGTCAAAGCGCTCCAAATGTCCACTTCCAGATACTACAAAAACAGTGTTTCAAACCTGCTTTAATAAAGGGAATGTTCAACTCTGTGACTTGAATGCACATATCACAGAGCAGTTTACTGAGAGTGCCTGTGTCTAGATTTTATACTAAAGTATTCCCGTTTCCAACGAAATCGTTAGATCTATCCAAATATCCACTTGCAGATTCTACAGAAAGAGTGTTTCAATACTGCTGTATCAAAAGACAGGTTGTACTCTGTTAGCTGAGGACATACATCCCAAACCAGTTTGTGAGAATGCTTCTGTCAAGTTTGTATGGGAAGATATTTCCTTGTTCACCATAGGCCTGAAAGCGCTCGAAATATCCTCTTCCAGATACTACAGAAAGAGTGTTTGAAACCTGCTCTCTGAAAGGGAATGTTCAACTCTGTGACTTAAAAGCAAACATCACAAAGCAGCTTCTGAGAATGCTGCTGTCTACTTTGTATATGTAATCCCGTTTCCGAAGAAATCCCCATAGCTATCCAAATATCCTCCTGCAGATTCCACGAAAAGACGGTTTCAAACCTGCTCTAAGAAAGGGAATATTCAACTCTGTGACTTGAATACAGATATCACAAAGTAGTTTCTGAGAGTGCTTCTGTCTAGAGTTTATATGAAGCTATTCCCGTTTCCAACGAAATAGCTTGAGCTATCCAAATATCCACTTGTAGATTCTACAGAAAGAGTGTTTCCAAACTGCTGTATCAAAAGACAGGTTGTACTCTGTTACTTGAGGACACACATCACAAAGAAGTTTACTGAGAATGCCTCTGTCTAGATTTTACCTGAAGATATTCCGGTTTCCAAGGAAATCCTTAAAGCTTTCCAAATATGCACTTGCAGATTCTCCAATTGAGTGTTTCAAAACTGCTCTGTAAATAGAAAGGTTCAACTCTGTTAGTTGAGGACATACATCACAAACCACTTTGTGAGAATGCTTCTGTCTAATTTTTATGGGAAGATATTTCCTTTTGCACCGTAAGCGTCAAAGCGCTCCAAGTGTCCACATCCAGATACTGCAGAAAGAGTGTTTCAAACCTGCTCTATGAAAGCGAATGTTCAACTCTGTGACGTGAATGCAGACATCACAAAGCTGTTTCTGAGAATGCTTCTGTCTCGATTTTACATGAAGATATTCCCGTTTCCAACGAAATCTTCAAATTTATCCAAATATCCACTTGCAGATTCTACAAAAAGAGTGTTTCCAAACTGCTGTATCAAAAGAAAGGTTCAACTCTGTTAGTTGAGGACATACATCACAAATGAGTTTCTGAGAAGGCTTCTGTCTAGTTTTTATGGGAAGATATTTCCTTTTTCACCATACGCCTGAAAGCCCTCGAAATGTCCACTTCCAGATACTACAGAAAGAGTGTTTCAAACCTGCTCTATGAAAGGGAATGCTCAACTCTGTGACTTAAAAGCAAACATCACAGAGAAGCTTCTGAGAATGCTACTGTCTACTTTGTATATGGAATCCCGTTTCCAACGAAATCCTGAAAGCTATCCAAATATCCTCCTGCAGATTCCAAGAAAAGACGGTTTCAAACCTGCTCTCATAAACGAATATTCAACTCTGACTTGAATGCAGTTATCACAAAGTAGTTTCTGAGAGTGCTTCTGTCTAGATTTTATATGAAGATATTCCCGTTTCCAAAGAAATATTTCGAGCTATCCAAATATCCCCTTGCACATACTACAAAAAGAGTGTTTCCAAACTTCTGTATCATAAGAGAGGTTGAACTCTGTTAGTTGAGGACACACATCACAAAGAAGTTTCAGGGAATGCTTCTGTCTAGGTTTGAAGAGAAGATATTTCCTTTTTCAGCAAAGGCGTCAAAGCGCTCCAAATGTCCACTTCCAGATACTACAAAAACAGTGTTTCAAACCTGCTCTAATAAAGGGAATGTTCAACTCTGTGACTTGAATGCACATATCACAGAGTAGTTTCTGAGAGTGCCTGAGTCTAGATTTTATACTAAAGTATTCCCGTTTCCAACGAAATCGTTAGAGCTATCCAAATATCCACTTGCAGATTCTACAGAAAGAGTGTTTCAATACTGCTGTATCAAAAGACAGGTTGTACTCTGTTAGCTGAGGACATACATCCCAAACCAGTTTGTGAGAATGCTTCTGTCAAGTTTGTATGGGAAGATATTTCCTTGTTCACCATAGGCCTGAAAGCGCTCGAAATATCCTCTTCCAGATACTACAGAAAGAGTGTTTGAAACCTGCTCTCTGAAAGGGAATGTTCAACTCTGTGACTTAAAAGCAAACATCACAAAGCAGCTTCTGAGAATGCTGCTGTCTACTTTGTATATGTATTCCCGTTTCCAGCGAAATCCTCCAAGCTATCCAAATATCCTCCTGCAGATTCCACGAAAATACGGTTTCAAACTTGCTCTAAGAAAGGGAATATTCAAAACTGTGTCTTGAATACAGATATCACAAAGTAGTTTCTGAGAGTGCTTCTGTCTAGAGTTTATATGAAGCTATTCCCGTTTCCAACGAAATAGATTCAGCTATCCAAATATCCACTTGTAGATTCTACAGAAAGAGTGTTTCCAAACTGCTGTATCAAAAGACAGGTTGTACTCTGTTACTTGAGGACACACATCACAAAGAAGTTTCTGAGAATGCCTCTGTGTAGATATTATCTGAAGATATTCCGGTTTCCAATGAAATCCTTAAAGCTTTCCAAATATCCACTTACAGATTCTCCAATTGAGTCTTTCAAAACTGCTCTGTAAATAGAAAGTTTCAACTCTGTTAGTTGAGGACATACATCACAAACCAGTTTGTGAGAATGCTTCTGTCTAGTTTTTATGGGAAGATATTTCCTTTTTCACCGTAAGCGTCAAAGCGCTCCAAGTGTCCACATCCAGATACTACAGAAAGAGTCTCTCAAACCTGCTCTATGAAAGCGAATGTTCAACTCGGTGACCTGAATGCAGACATCACAAAGCAGTTTCTGAGAAAGCTTCTGTCTCAATTTTACATGAAGATATTCCCGCTTCCAACGAAATCTTCAAAGTTATCCAAATATCCCCTTGTAGATTCTACAAAAAGTGTGTTTCCAAACTGCTGTATCAAAAGAAAGGTTCAACTCTGTTAGTTGAGGACACACATCACAAATAAGTTTCTGAGAATGCTTCTGTCTAGTTTTTATGGGAAGATATTTCCTTTTTCACCATAGGCCTGAATGCGCTCGAAATGTCCACTTCCAGATGCTACAGATGGAGTGTTTCAAACCTGCTCTATGAAAGGGAATGTTCAACTCTGTGACTTAAAGGCAAACATCACAGAGAAGCTTCTGAGACTGCTACTGTCTACTTTGTATATGGAATCCCGTTTCCAACGAAATCCTGAAAGCTATCCAAATATCCACCTGCAGATTCCAAGAAAAGACGGTTTCAAACCTGCTCTCAGAAAGGGAATATTCAACTCTGACTTGAATGCAGTTTTCACAAAGTAGTTTCTGAGAGTGCTGCTTCTGTCTAGATTTTATATGAAGTTATTCCGGTTTCCAACGAAATACTTCAAGCTATCCAAATAACCCCTGGCATATTCTACAAAAAGAGTGTTTCCAAACTTCTGTATCATAAGAGAGGTTGAACTCTGTTAGTTGAGGACACACATCACAAACAAGTTTCTGAGAATGCTTCTGTCTAGTTTTGAAGAGAAGATATTTCCTTTTTCAGCAAAGGCGTCAAAGCGCTCCAAATGTCCACTTCCAGATACTACAAAAAGAGTGTTTCAAACCTGCTCTAATAAAGGGAATGTTCAACTCTGTGACTTGAATGCACATATCACAGAGCAGTTTCTGAGAGTGCCTCTGTCTAGATTATATACTAAATTATTCCCGTTTCCAACGAAATCGTTAGAGCTATCCAAATATCCACTTGCAGATTCTACAGAAAGAGTGTTTCAATACTGCTGTATCAAAAGACAGGCTGTACTCTGTTAGCTGAGGACATACATCCCAAAGCAGTTTGTGAGAATGCTTCTGTCAACTTTTCATGGGAAGATATTTCCTTGTTCACCATAGGCCTGAAAGCGCTCGAAATATCCTCTTACAGATACTACAGAAAGAGTGTTTGAAACCTGCTCTATGAAAGGGAATGTTCCACTCTGTGACTTAAAAGCAAACATCACAAAGCAGCTTCTGAGAATGCTGCTGTCTACTTTGTATATGTAATCCCGTTTCCAACGAAATCCTCAAAGCTATCCAAATATCCTCCTGCAGATTCCACGAAAAGACGGTTTCAAACCTGCTCTAAGAAAGGGAATATTCAACTCTGTGACTTGAATACAGATATCACAAAGTAGTTTCTGACAGTGCTTCTGTCTAGAGTTTATATGAAGATATTCCCGTTTCCAAAGAAATAGCTTGAGCTATCCAAATATCCACTTGCAGATTTTACAGAAAGAGTGTTTCCAAACTACTGTATCAAAAGACAGGTTGTACTCTGTTACTTGAGGACACACATCACAAAGAAGTTTCTGACAATGCCTCTGTCTAGATTTTACCTGAAGATATTCCGGTTTCCAATGAAATCCTTAAAGCTTTCCAAATATACACTTGCAGATTCTCCAATAGAGTCTTTCAAAACTGCTCTGTAAATAGAAAGGTACAACCCTCTTAGTTGAGGACATACATCACAAACCAGTTTGTGAGAATGCTTCTGTCTGGTTTTTATGGGAAGATATTTCCTTTTTCACCGTAAGCGTCAAAGCGCTCCAAGTGTCCACATCCAGATACTACAGAAAGAGTGTTTCAAACCTGCTCTATGAAAGCGAATGTTCAATCCCGTGACGTGAATGCAGACATCACAAAGCAGTTTCTGAGAGTGCTTCTGTCTCGATTTTACATGAAGATATTCCCGCTTCCAACGAAATCTGCAAAGTTATCAAATATCCCCTTGCAGATTCTACAAAAAGTGTGTTTCCAAACTCCTCTGTCAAACGAAATGTTCAACTCTGTGAGTTGAGGACACACATCACAAACAAGTTTCTGCGAAGGCTTCTGTTTAGTTTTTATGGGAAGATATTTCCTTTTTCACCATAGGCCTGAAAGCGCTCCAAATGTCCACTTCCAGATGCTACAGATAGAGTGTTTCAAACCTCCTCTATGAAGGGAATGTCCAACTCTGTGACTTAAAGGCAAACATCACAGAGAAGCTTCTGAGAATGCTACTGTCTACTTTGTATATGGAATCCCGTTTCCAACGAAATCCTGAAAGCTATCCAAATATCCACCTGCAGATTCCAAGAAAAGACGGTTTCAAACCTGCTCTCAGAAAGGGAATATTCAACTGTGACTTGAATGCAGTTATCACAAAGTAGTTTCTGAGAGTGCTTCTGTTTAGATTTTATATGAAGATATTCCCCTTTAAAACGAAATGCTTCCAGCTATCCAAATATCCCCTTGCATCTTCTACAAAAAGAGTGTTTCCAAACTTCTGTATCAAAAGAGAGGTTGAACTCTGTTACTTGAGGACACACATCACAAAAAAGTTTCTGAGAATGCTTCTGTCTAGTTTTTATGGGAAGATATTTCCTTTTTCACCAAAGGCGTCAAAGCGCTCCAAATGTCCACTTCCAGATACTACAAAAAGAGTGTTTCAAACCTGCTCTAATAAAGGGAATGTTCAACTCTGTGACTTGAATGCACATATCACAAAGCAGTTTCTGAGAGTGCCTGTGTCTAGATTTTATACTAAAGTATTCCCGTTTCCAACGAAATCGTTAGAGCTATCCAAATATCCACTTGCAGATTCTACAGAAAGAGTGTTTCAATACTGTTGTATCAAAAGACAGGTTGTACTCTGTTAGCTGAGGACATACATCCCAAACCAGTTTGTGAGAATGCTTCTGTCAAGTTTGTATGGGAAGATATTTCCTTGTTCACCATAGGCCTGAAAGCGCTCGAAACGTCCTCTTCCAGATACTACAGAAAGAGTGTTTGAAACCTGCTCTCTGAAAGGGAATGTTCAACTCTGTGACTTAAAAGCAAACATCACAAAGCAGCTCCTGAGAATGCTGCTGTCTGCTTTGTATATGTAATCCCGTTTCCGACGAAATCCCCAAAGCTATCCAAATATCCTCCTGCAGATTCCACGAAAAGACGGTTTCAAACCTGCTCTAAGAAAGGGAATATTCAACTCTGTGACTTGAATGCAGATAGCACAAAGTAGTTTCGGAGAGTGCTTCTGTCTAGAGTTTATATGAAGCTATTCCCGTTTCCAACGAAATAGCTTGAGCTATCCAAATATCCACTTGTAGATTCTACAGAAAGAGTGTTTCCAAACTGCTGAATCAAAAGACAGGTTGTACTCTGTTACTTGAGGACACACATCACAAAGAAGTTTCTGAGAATGCCGTTTTCGAGATTTTACCTGAAGATATTCCGGTTTACAATGAAATCCTTAAAGCTTTCCAAATATCCACTTGCAGATTCTCCAATAGAGTCTTTCAAAACAGCTCTGTAAATAGAAAGGTTCAACTCTGTTAGTTGAGGACATACATCACAAACCAGTTTGTGAGAATGCTTCTGTCTAGTTTTTATGGGAAGATATTTCCTTTTGCACCGTAAGCGTCAAAGCGCTCCAAGTGTCCACATCCAGATACTACAGAAAGAGTGTTTCAAACCTGCTCTATGAAAGCGAATATTCAAATCTGTGACGTGAATGCAGACATCACAAAGCAGTTTCTGAGAATGCTTCTGTCTCGATTTAACATGAAGATATTCCCGTTTCCAACGAAATACTTCGAGCTATCCAAATATCCCCTGGCATATTTTCCAAAAAGAGTGTTTCCAAACTTCTCTATCATAAGAGAGGTTTGACTCTGTTAGTTGAGGACACACATCACAAAGAAGTTTCTGAGAATGCTTCTGTCTAGTTTTTATGGGAAGATATTTCCTTTTTCACCATAGGCCTGAAAGCCCTCGAAATGTCCACTTCCAGATACTACAGAAAGAGTGTTTCAAACCTGCTCTATGAAAGGGAATGCTCAACTCTGTGACTTAAAAGCAAACATCACAGAGAAGCTTCTGAGAATGCTACTGTCTACTTTGTATATGTAATCCTGTTTCCAACGAAATCCTGAAAGCTATCCAAATATCCACCTGCAGATTCCAAGAAAAGACGGTTTCAAACCTGCTCTAAGAAAGGGAATATTCAACTCTGTGACTTGAATGCAGATAGCACAAAGTAGTTTCGGAGAGTGCTTCTGTCTAGATTTTATATGAAGATATTCCCGTTTCCAACGAAATACTTCGAGCTATACAAATATCCCCTTGCATATACTACAAAAAGAGTGTTTCCAAACTTCTGTAGCATAAGAGAGGTTGAACTCTGTTAGTTGAGGGCACACATCACAAAGAAGTTTCTGGGAATGCTTCTGTCTAGTTTTGAAGAGAAGATATTTCCTTTTTCAGCAAAGGCGTCAAAGCGCTCCAAATGTCCACTTCCAGATACTACAAAAACAGTGTTTCAAACCTGCTCTAATAAAGGGAATGTTCAACTCTGTGACTTGAATGCACATATCACAGAGCAGTTTCTGAGAGTGCCTCTGTCTAGATTTTATACTAAAGTATTCCCGTTTCCAACGAAATCGTTAGAGCTATCCAAATATCCACTTGCAGATTCTACAGAAAGAGTGTTTCAATACTGCTGTATCAAAAGACAGGTTGTACTCTGTTAGCTGAGGACATACATCCCAAACCAGTTTGTGAGAATGCTTCTGTCAAGTTTGTATGGGAAGATATTTCCTTGTTCACCATAGGCCTGAAAGCGCTCGAAATATCCTCTTCCAGATACTACAGAAAGAGTGTTTGAAACCTGCTCTCTGAAAGGGAATGTTCAACTCTGTGACTTAAAAGCAAACATCACAAAGCAGCTTCTGAGAATGCTGCTGTCTACTTTGTATATGTAATCCCGTTTCCGACGAAATCCCCAAAGCTATCCAAATATCCTCCTGCAGATTCCACGAAAAGACGGTTTCAAACCTGCTCTAAGAAAGGGAATATTCAACTCTGTGACTTGAATACAGATATCACAAAGTAGTTTCTGAGAGTGCTTCTGTCTAGAGTTTATATGAAGCTGTTCCCGTTTCCAACGAAATAGCTTCAGCTATCCAAATATCCACTTGTAGATTCTACAGAAAGAGTGTTTCCAAACTGCTGTAGCAAAAGACTGGTTGTACTCTGTTACTTGAGGACACACATCACAAAGAAGTTTCTGAGAATGCCTCTGTCTCGATTTTACATGAAGATATTCCCGTTTCCAACGAAATCTTCAAAGTTATCCAAATATCCACTTGCAGATTCTCCAATTGAGTCTTTCAAAAGTGCTCTGTAAATAGAAAGGTTCAACTCTGTTAGTTGAGGACATACATCACAAACCAGTTTGTGAGAATGCTTCTGTCTAGTTTTTATGGGAAGATATTTCCTTTTTCACGGTAAGCGTCAAAGCCCTCCAAGTGTCCACATCCAGATACTACAGAAAGAGTCTTTCAAACCTGCTCTATGAAAGCGAATGTTCAACTCTGTGACGTGAATGCAGACATCACAAAGCAGTTTCTGAGAATGCTTCTGTCTCGATTTTACATGAAGATATTCCCGTTTCCAACGAAATCTTCAAAGTTATCCAAATATCCACTTGCAGATTCTACAAAAAGAGTGTTTCCAAACTGCTGTATCAAAAGAAAGGTTCAACTCTGTTGGTTGAGGTCATACATCACAAATAAGTTTCTGAGAATGCTTCTGTCTAGTTTTTATGGGAAGATATTTCCTTTTTCACCATAGGCCTGAATGCGCTCGAAATGTCCACTTCCAGATGCTACAGATAGAGTGTTTCAAACCTGCTCTATGAAAGGGAATGTTCAACTCTGTGACTTAAAGGCAAACATCACAGAGAAGCTTCTGAGACTGCTTCTGTCTAGTTTTTATGGGAAGATATTTCCTTTTGCACCGTAAGCGTCAAAGCGCTCCAAGTGTCCACATCCAGATACTACAGAAAGAGTGTTTCAAACCTGCTCTATGAAAGCGAATGTTCAACTCTGTGACGTGAATGCAGACATCACAAAGCAGTTTCTGAGAATGCTTCTGTCTCGATTTAACATGAAGATATTCCCGTTTCCAACGAAATACTTCGAGCTATCCAAATATCCCCTGGCATATTCTCCAAAAAGACTGTTTCCAAACTTCTGTATCATAAGAGAGTTTGAACTCTATTAGTTGAGGACACACATCACAAAGAAGTTTCTGAGAATGCTTCTGTCTAGTTTTTTAGGGAAGATATTTCCTTTTTCACCAAAGGCGTCAAAGCGCTCCAAATGTCCACTTCCAGATACTACAAAAAGAGTGTTTCAAACCTGCTCTAATAAAGGGAATGTTCAACTCTGTGACTTGAATGCACATATCACAAAGCAGTTTCTGAGAGTGCCTGTGTCTAGATTTTATACTAAAGTATTCCCGTTTCCAACGAAATCGTTAGAGCTATCCAAATATCCACTTGCAGATTCTACAGAAAGTGTGTTTCAATACTGCTGTATCAAAAGACAGGTTGAACTCTGTTAGCTGAGGACATACATCCCAAACGAGTTTGTGAGAATGATTCTGTCAAGTTTTTATGGGAAGATATTTCCTTTTTCACCGAAAGCGTCAAAGCGCTCGAAATGTCCTCTTCCAGATACTACAGAAAGAGTGTTTGAAACCTGCTCTATGAAAGGGAATGTTCAACTCTGTGACTTAAAAGCAAACATCACACAGCAGCTTCTGAGAATGCTGCTGTCTACTTTGTACATGTAATCCCGTTTCCAAAGAAATCCTCAAATCTATCCAAATATCCTCCTGCAGATTCCACGAAAACACGGTTTCAAACCTGCTGTAAGAAAGGGAATATTCAACTCTGTGACTTGAATACAGATATCACAAAGTAGTTTCTGAGAGTGCTTCTGTCTAGAGTTTATATGAAGCTATTCCCGTTTCCAACGAAATAGCTTGAGCTATCCAAATATCCACTTGTAGATTCTACAGAAAGAGTGTTTCCAAACTGCTGTATCAAAAGACAGGTTGTACTCTGTTACTTGAGGACACACATCACAAAGAAGTTTCTGAGAATGCCCTTGTCGAGATTTTACCTGAAGATATTCCGGTTTCCAATGAAATCCTTAAAGCTTTCCAAATATCCACTTGCAGATTCTCCAATAGAGTCTTTCAAAACAGCTCTGTAAATAGAAAGGTTCAACTCTGTTAGCTGAGGACATACATCACAAACCAGTTTGTGAGAATGCTTCTGTCTAGTTTTTATGGGAAGATATTTCCTTTTTCACCGTAAGCGTCCAAGCGCTCCAAGTGTCCAGATCCAGATACTACAGAAAGAGTGTTTCAAACCTGCTCTATGAAAAGGAATGTTCAACTCTGTGACGTGAATGCAGATATCACAAAGCAGTTTCTGAGAATGATTCTGTCCCGATTTTACATGAAGATATTCCCGTTTCCAACGAAATCTTCAAAGTTATCCAAATATCCACTTGCAGATTCTACAAAAAGAGTGTTTCCAAACTGCTGTATCAAAAGAAAGGTTCAACTCTGTTAGTTGAGGACATACATCACAAATGAGTTTCTGAGAAGGCTTCTGTCTAGTTTTTATGGGAAGATATTTCCTTTTTCACCATAGGCCTGAAAGCGCTCGAAATGTCCACTTCCAGATACTACAGAAAGAGTGTTTCAAACCTGCTCTATGAAAGGGAATGTTCAACTCTGTGACTTAAAAGCAAACATCACAGAGAAGCTTCTGAGAATGCTACTGTCTACTTTGTATGTGTAATCCCGTTTGCAACGAAATCCTGAAAGCTATCCAAATATCCACCTGCAGATTCTAAGAAAAGAAGGTTTCAAACCTGCTCTAAGAAAGGGAATATTCAACTCTGTGACTTGAATGCAGATATCACAAAGTAGTTCCTGAGAGTGCTTCTGTCTAGATTTTATATGAAGATATTCCCGTTTCCAAAGAAATACTTCGAGCTATCCAAATATCCCCTTGCATATACTACAAAAAGAGTGTTTCTAAACTTCTGTATCATAAGAGAGGTTGAACTCTGTTAGTTGAGGACACACATCACAAAGAAGTTTCTGGGAATGCTTCTGTCTAGTTTTGAAGAGAAGATATTTCCTTTTTCAGCAAAGGCGTCAAAGCGCTCCAAATGTCCACTTCCAGATACTACAAAAACAGTGTTTCAAACCTGCTCTAATAAAGGGAATGTTCAACTCTGTGACTTGAATGCACATATCACAGAGCAGTTTCTGAGAGTGCCTGTGTCTAGATTTTATACTAAAGTATTCTCGTTTCCAACGAAATCGTTAGAGCTATCCCAATATCCACTTGCAGATTCTACAGAAAGTGTGTTTCAATACTGCTGTATCAAAAGACAGGTTGTACTCTGTTAGCTGAGGACATACATCCCAAACCAGTTTGTGAGAATGCTTCTGTCAAGTTTGTATGGGGAGATATTTCCTTGTTCACCATAGGCCTGAAGGTGCTCGAAATGTCCTCTTCCAGATACTACAGAAAGAGTGTTTGACACCTGTTCTATAAAAGGGAATGTTCAACTCTGTGACTTAAAAGCAAACATCACAAAGCAGCTTCTGAGAATGCTGCTGTCTACTTTGTACATGTAATCCCATTTCCAACGAAATCCTCAAAGCTATCCAAATATCCTCCTGCAGATTCCACAAAAAGACGGTTTCAAACCTGCTCTAAGAAAGGGAATATTCAACTCTGTGACTTGAATACAGATATCACAAAGTAGTTTCTGAGAGTGCTTCTGTCTAGAGTTTATATGAAGCTATTCCCGTTTCCAACGAAATAGATTCAGCTATCCAAATATCCACTTGTAGATTCTACAGAAAGAGTGTTTCCAAACTGCTGTATCAAAAGACAGGTTGTACTCTGTTACTTGAGGACACACATCACAAAGAAGTTTCTGAGAATGCCCTTGTCGAGATTTTACCTGAAGATATTCCGGTTTCCAATGAAATCCTTAAAGCTTTCCAAATATCCACTTGCAGATTCTCCAATAGAGTCTTTCAAAACAGCTCTGTAAATAGAAAGGTTCAACTCTGTTAGCTGAGGACATACATCACAAACCAGTTTGTGAGAATGCTTCTGTCTAGTTTTTATGGGAAGATATTTCCTTTTTCACCGTAAGCGTCAAAGCGCTCCAAGTGTCCACATCCAGATACTACAGAAAGAGTCTTTCAAACCTGCTCTATGAAAGCGAATGTTCAACTCTGTGACGGGAATGCAGACATCACAAAGCAGTTTCTGAGAATGCTTCTGTCTCGATTTTACATGAAGATATTCCCGTTTCCAACGAAATCTTCAAAGTTATCCAAATATCCACTTGCAGATTCTACAAAAAGAGTGTTTCCAAACTGCTGTATCAAAAGAAAGGTTCAACTCCGTTAGTTGAGGACATACCTCACAAATAAGTTTCTGAGAATGATTCTGTCTAGTTTTTATGGGAAGATATTTCCTTTTTCACCATAGGCCTGAAAGCCCTCGAAATGTCCACTTCCAGATACTACAGAAAGAGTGTTTCAAACCTGCTCTATGAAAGGGAATGCTCAACTCTGTGACTTAAATGCAAACATCACAGAGAAGCTTCTGAGAATGCTACTGTCTACTTTGTATATGTAATCCCGTTTCCAACGAAATCCTGAAAGCTATCCAAATATCCACCTGCAGATTCCAAGAAAAGACGGTTTCAAACCTGCTCTAAGAAAGGGAATATTCAACTCTGTGACTTGAATGCAGATAGCACAAAGTAGTTTCTGAGAGTGCTTCTGTCTAGATTTTATATGAAGTTATTCCAGTTTCCAACGAAATACTTCAAGCTATCCAAATAACCCCTGGCATATTCTACAAAAAGAGTGTTTCCAAACTTCTGTATCATAAGAGAGGTTGAACTCTGTTAGTTGAGGACACACATCACAAACAAGTTTCTGAGAATGCTTCTGTCTAGTTTTTATGGGAAGATATTTCCTTTTTCACCAAAGGCGTCAAAGCGCTCCAAATGTCCACTTCCAGATACTACAAAAAGAGTGTTTCAAACCTGCTCCAATAAAGGGAATGTTCAACTCTGTGACTTGAATGCACATATCACAAAGCAGTTTCTGAGAGTGCCTCTGTCTAGATTTTGCATTAAGTTATTCCCGTTTCCAAAGAAATCGTTAGAGCTATCCAAATATCCACTTGCAGATTCTACAGAAAGAGTCTTTCAATACTGCTGTATCAAAAGACAGGTTGTACTCTGTTAGCTGAGGACATACATCCCAAACCAGTTTGTGAGAATGCTTCTGTGTAGATATTATCTGAAGATATTCCGGTTTCCAATGAAATCCTTAAAGCTTTCCAAATATCCACTTACAGATTCTCCAATTGAGTCTTTCAAAACTGCTCTGTAAATAGAAAGTTTCAACTCTGTTAGTTGAGGACATACATCACAAACCAGTTTGTGAGAATGCTTCTGTCTAGTTTTTATGGGAAGATATTTCCTTTTTCATCGTAAGCGTCAAAGCGCTCCAAGTGTGCACATCCAGATACTACAGAAAGAGTCTTTCAAACCTGCTCTATGAAAGCGAATGTTCAACTCTGTGACGTGAATGCAGACATCACAAAGCAGTTTCTGAGAATGCTTCTGTCTCGATTTTACATGAAGATATTCCCGTTTCCAACGAAATCTTCAAAGTTATCCGAATATCCACTTGCAGATTCTACAAAAAGAGTGTTTCCAAACTGCTGTATCAAAAGAGAGGTTCAAATCTGTTAGTTGAGGACACACATCACAAATAAGTTTCTGAGAATGCTTCTGTCTAGTTTTTATGGGAAGATATTTCCTTTTTCACCATAGGCCTGAAAGCCCTCGAAATGTCCACTTCCAGATACTACAGAAAGAGTGTTTCAAACCTGCTCTATGAAAGGGAATTCTCAACTCTGTGACTTAAAAGCAAACATCACAGAGAAGCTTCTGAGAATGCTACTGTCTACTTTGTATATGGAATCCCGTTTCCAACGAAATCCTGAAAGCTATCCAAATATCCACCTGCAGATTCCAAGAAAAGACGGTTTCAAACCTGCTCTGAGAAAGGGAATATTCAACTCTGACTTGAATGCAGTTATCACAAAGTAGTTTCGGAGAGTGCTTCTGTCTAGATTTTATATGAAGATATTCCCGTTTCCAACGAAATACTTCGAGCTATCCAAATATCCCCTTGCATATACTACAAAAAGAGTGTTTCCAAGCTTCTGTATCATAAGAGAGGTTGAACTCTGTTAGTTGAGGACACACATCACAAAGAAGTTTCTGGGAATGTTTCTGTCTAGTTTTGAAGAGAAGATATTTCCTTTTTCAGCAAAGGCGTCAAAGCGCTCCAAATGTCCACTTCCAGATACTACAAAAAGAGTGTTTCAAACCTGCTCTAATAAAGGGAATGTTCAACTCTGTGACTTGAATGCACATATCACAGAGCAGTTTCTGAGAGTGCCTGTGTCTAGATTTTATACTAAAGTATTCTCGTTTCCAACGAAATCGTTAGAGCTATCCAAATATCCACTTGCAGATTCTACAGAAAGTGTGTTGCAATACTGCTGTATCAACAGACAGGTTGTACTCTGTTAGCTGAGGACATACATCCCAAACCAGTTTGTGAGAATGCTTCTGTCAAGTTTTATGGGAAGATAATCCCTTGTTCACCATAGGCCTGAAAGCGCTCGAAATGTCCTCTTCCAGATACTACAGAAAGAGTGTTGGAAACCTGCTCTATGAAAGGGAATGTTCAACTCTGTGACTTAAAAGCAAACATCACACAGCAGCTTCTGAGAATGATGCTGTCTACTTTGTACATGTAATCCCGTTTCCAACGAAATCCTCAAAGCTATCCAAATATCCTCCTGCAGATTCCACGAAAAGACGGTTTCAAACCTGCTGTAAGAAAGGGAATATTCAACTCTGTGACTTGAATACAGATATCACAAAGTAGTTTCTGAGAGTGCTTCTCTCTAGAGTTTATATGAAGATATTCCCCTTTCCAATGAAACAGCTTGAGCTATCCAACTATCCACTTGCAGATTCTACAGAAAGAGTGTTTCCAAACTGCTGTATCAAAAGACAGGTTGTACTCTGTTACTTGAGGACACACATCACAAAGAAGTTTCTGAGAATGCCCTTGTCGAGATTTTACCTGAAGATATTCCGGTTTCCAATGAAATCCTTAAAGCTTTCCAAATATCCACTTGCAGATTCTCCAATAGAGTCTTTCAAAACAGCTCTGTAAATAGAAAGGTTCAACTCTGTTAGCTGAGGACACACATCACAAACCAGTTTGTGAGAATGCTTCTGTCTACTTTTTATGGGAAGATATTTCCTTTTTCACCGTAAGCGTCAAAGCGCTCCAAGTGTCCACATCCAGATACTACAGAAAGAGTCTTTCAAACCTGCTCTATGAAAGCGAATGTTCAACTCGGTGACCTGAATGCAGACATCACAAAGCAGTTTCTGAGAAAGCTTCTGTCTCGATTTTACATGAAGATATTCCCGTTTCCAACGAAAGCTTCAAAGTTATCCAAATATCCCCTTGCAGATTCTACAAAAAGTGTGTTTCCAAACAGCTGTATCAAAAGAAAGGTTCAACTCTGTTAGTTGAGGACACACATCAGAAATAAGTCTGAGAATGCTTCTGTCTAGTTTTTATGGGAAGATATTTCCTTATTCACCATAGGCCTGAAAGCGCTCGAAATGTCCACTTCCAGATGCTACAGATAGAGTGTTTCAAACCTGCTCTATGAAAGGGAATGTTCAACTCTGTGACTTAAAGGCAAACATCACAGAGAAGCTTCTGAGAATGCTACTGTCTACTTTGTATATGGAATCCCGTTTCCAACGAAATCCTGAAAGCTATCCAAATATCCTCCTGCAGATTCCAAGAAAAGACGGTTTCAAACCTGCTCTCATAAACGAATATTCAACTCTGACTTGAATGCAGTTATCACAAAGTAGTTTCTGAGAGTGCTTCTGTCTAGATTTTATATGAAGATATTCCCGTTTCCAACGAAATACTTCGAGCTATCCAAATATCCCCTTGCATATACTATAAAAAGAGTGTTTCCAAACTACTGTATCATAAGAGAGGTTGAACTCTGTTAGTTGAGGACACACATCACAAAGAAGTTTCTGGGAATGCTTCTGTCTAGTTTTGAAGAGAAGATATTTCTTTTTTCAGCAAAGGCGTCAAAGCGCTCCAAATGTCCACTTCCAGATGCTACAAAAACAGTGTTTCAAACCTGCTCTAATAAAGGGAATGTTCAACTCTGTGACTTGAATGCACATATCACAGAGCAGTTTCTGAGAGTGCCTGTGTGTAGGATTTTATACTAAAGTATTCCCGTTTCCAACGAAATCGTTAGAGCTATCCAAATATCCACTTGCAGATTCTACAGAAAGAGTGTTTCAATACTGTTGTATCAAAAGACAGGTTGTACTCTGTTAGCTGAGGACATACATCCCAAACCAGTTTGTGAGAATGCTTCTGTCAAGTTTGTATGGGAAGATATTTCCTTGTTCACCATAGGCCTGAAAGCGCTCGAAATATCCTCTTCCAGATACTACAGAAAGAGTGTTTGAAACCTGCTCTCTGAAAGGGAATGTTCAACTCTGTGACTTAAAAGCAAACATCACAAAGCAGCTTCTGAGAATGCTGCTGTCTACTTTGTATATGTAATCCCGTTTCCGACGAAATCCCCAAAGCTATCCAAATATCCTCCTGCAGATTCCACGAAAAGACGGTTTCAAACCTGCTCTAAGAAAGGGAATATTCAACTCTGTGACTTGAATACAGATATCACAAAGTAGTTTCTGAGAGTGCTTCTGTCTAGAGTTTATATGAAGCTATTCCCGTTTCCAACGAAATAGCTTGAGCTATCCGAATATCGACTTGCAGATTCTACAGAAAGAGTGTTTCCAAACTGCTGTATCAAAACACAGGTGGTACTCTGTTACTTGAGGACACACATCACAAATGAGTTTCTGAGAATGCCCTTGTCTAGGTTTTACCTGAAGATATTCCGGTTTCCAATGAAATCCTTAAAGCTTTCCAAATATCCACTTTCAGGTTCTCCAATTGAGTCTTTCAAAACTGGTCTGTAAACAGAAAGGTTCAACTCTGTTAGCTGAGGACATACATCACAAACCAGTTTGTGAGAATGCTTCTGTCTAGTTTTAATGGGAAGATATTTCCTTTTGCACCGTAAGCGTCAAAGCGCTCCAAGTGTCCACATCCAGATACTGCAGAAAGAGTGTTTCAAACCTGCGCTATGAAAGCGAATGTTCAACTGTGTGACGTGAATGCAGACATCACAAAGGTGTTTCTGAGAATGCTTCTTTCTCGATTTTACATGAAGATATTCCCGTATCCAATGAAATCTTCAAAGTTTTCCAAATATCCACTTGCAGATTCTACAAAAAGAGTGTTTCCAAACTGCTGAATCAAAAGAAAGGTTCAACACTGTTAGTTGAGGACACACATCACAAATAAGTTTCTGAGAATGCTTCTGTCTAGTTTTTATGGGAAGATATTTCCTTATTCACCATAGGCCTGAAAGCGCTCGAAATGTCCACTTCCAGATGCTACAGATAGAGTGTTTCAAACCTGCTCTATGAAAGGGAATGTTCAACTCTGTGACTTAAAGGCAAACATCACAGAGAAGCTTCTGAGAATGCTACTGTCTACTTTGAATATGGAATCCCATTTCCAACGAAATCCTGAAAGCTATCCAAATATCCACCTGCAGATTCCAAGAAAAGACGGTTTCAAACCTGCTCTCAGAAACGGAATATTCAACTGTGACTTGAATGCAGTTATCACAAAGTAGTTTCTGAGAGTGCTTCTGTCTAGATTTTATATGAAGGTATTCCCGTTTCCAACGAAATTCTTCAGGCTATCCAAATATCCCCTTGCTTGTTCTACAGAAAGAGTGTTTCCAAACTTCTGTATCATAAGAGAGGTTGAACTCTGTTAGTTGAGGAAACACATCACAAAGAAGTTTCTGAGAATGCTTCTGTCTAGTTTTTTACGGAAGATATTTCCTTTTTCACCAAAGGCGTCAAAGCGCTCCAAATGTCCACTTCCAGATACTACAAAAAGAGTGTTTCAAACCTGCTCTAATAAAGGGAATGTTCAACTATGTGACTTGAGTGCACATATCACAAAGCAGTTTCTGAGAGTGCCTGTGTGTAGATTTTATACTAAAGTATTCCCGTTTCCAACGAAATCGTTAGAGCTATCCAAATATCCACTTGCAGATTCTACAGAAAGAGTGTTTCAATACTGCTGTATCAAAAGACAGGTTGTACTCTGTTAGCTGAGGACATACATCCCAAACCAGTTTGTGAGAATGCTTCTGTCAAGTTTGTATGGGAAGATATTTCCTTGTTCACCATAGGGCTGAAAGCGCTTGAAATGTCCTCTTCCAGATACTACAGAAAGAGTGTTTGAAACCTGCTCTCTGAAAGGGAATGTTCAACTCTGTGACTTAAAAGCAAACATCACAAAGCAGCTTCTCAGAATGCTGCTGTCTACTTTGTATATGTAATCCCTTTTCCGACGAAATCCCCAAAGCTATCCAAATATCCTCCTGCAGATTCCACGAAAAGACGCTTTCAAACCTGCTCTAAGAAAGGGAATATTCAACTCTGTGACTTGAATACAGATATCACAAAGTAGTTTCTGCGAGTGCTTCTGTCTAGAGTTTATATGAACATATTCCCCTTTCCAACGAAATAGCTTGAGCTATCCAAATATCCACTTGTAGATTCTACAGAAAGAGTGTTTCCAAACTGCTGTATCAAAAGACAGGTTGTACTCTGTTACTTGAGGACACACATCACAAAGAAGTTTCTGAGAATGCCCTTGTCGAGATTTTACCTGAAGATATTCCGGTTTCCAATGAAATCCTTAAAGCTTTCCAAATATCCACTTGCAGATTCTCCAATAGAGTCTTTCAAAACAGCTCTGTAAATAGAAAGGTTCAACTCTGTTAGCTGAGGACATACATCACAAACCAGTATGTGAGAATGCTTCTGTCTAGTTTTTATGGGAAGATATATCCTTTTACACCGTAAGCGTCAAAGCGCTCCAAGTGTCCACATCCAGATACTGCAGAAAGAGTGTTTCAAACCTGCTCTATGAAAGCGAATGTTCAACTCTGTGACGTGAATGCAGACACCACAAAGCTGTTTCTGAGAATGCTTCTGTCTCGATTTTACATGAAGATATTCCCGTTTCCAACGAAATCTTCAAAGTTATCCAAATATCCACTTGCAGATTCTACAAAAAGAGTGTTTCCAAACTGCTGTATCAAAAGAAAGGTTCAACTCCGTTAGTTGAGGACATACCTCACAAATAAGTTTCTGAGAATGATTCTGTCTAGTTTTTATGGGAAGATATTTCCTTTTTCACCATAGGCCTGAAAGCCCTCGAAATGTCCACTTCCAGATACTACAGAAAGAGTGTTTCAAACCTGCTCTATGAAAGGGAATGCTCAACTCTGTGACTTAAATGCAAACATCACAGAGAAGCTTCTGAGAATGCTACTGTCTACTTTGTATAAGTAATCCCGTTTCCAACGAAATCCTGAAAGCTATCCAAATATCCACCTGCAGATTCCAAGAAAAGACCGTTTCAAATCTGCTCTAAGAAAGGGAATATTCAACTCTGTGACTTGAATGCAGATATCACAAAGTAGTTTCTGAGAGTGCTTCTGTCTAGATTTTATATGAAGATATTCCCGTTTCCAACGAAATACTTCGAGCTATCCAAATATCCCCTTGCATATTCTACAAAAAGAGTGTTTCCAAACTTCTGTAACATAAGAGTGGTTGAACTCTGTTAGTTGAGGACACACATCACAAAAAGTTTCTGAGAATGCTTCTGTCTAGTTTTGAAGAGAAGATATTTCCTTTTTCAGCAAAGGCGTCAAAGCGCTCCAAATGTCCACTTCCAGATACTACAAAAAGAGTGTTTCAAACCTGCTCTAATAAAGGGAATGTTCAACTCTGTGACTTGAATGCACATATCACAGAGCAGTTTCTGAGAGTGCCTGTGTCTAGATTTTATACTAATGTATTCCCGTTTCCAACGAAATCGTTAGAGCTATCCAAATATCCACTTGCAGATTCTACAGAAAGAGTGTTTCAATACTGCTGTATCAAAAGACAGGTTGTACTCTGTTAGCTGAGGACATACATCCCAAACCAGTTTGTGGGAATGCTTCTGTCAAGTTTTTATGGGAAGATATTTCCTTGTACACCATAGGGCTGAAAGCGCTCGAAATGTCCTCTTCCAGATACTACAGAAAGAGTGTTGGAAACCTGCTCTATGAAAGGCAATATTCAACTCTGTGACTTAAAAGCAAACATCACACAGCAGCTTCTGAGAATGCTGCTGTCTGCTTTGTATATGTAATCCCGTTTCCGACGAAATCCCCAAAGCTATCCAAATATCCTCCTGCAGATTCCACGAAAAGACGGTTTCAAACCTGCTCTAAGAAAGGGAATATTCAACTCTGTGACTTGAATACAGATATCACAAAGTAGTTTCTGAGAGTGCTTCTGTCTAGAGTTTATATGAAGCTATTCCCGTTTCCAACGAAATAGCTTGAGCTATCCAACTATCCACTTGCAGATTCTACAGAAAGAGTGTTTCCAAACTGCTGTATCGAAAGACAGGTTGTACTCTGTTACTTGAGGACACACATCACAAAGTAGTTTCTGAGAAGGCCTCTGTCTAGATTTTACCTGAAGATATTCCGGTTTCCAATGAAATCCTTAAAGCTTTCCAAATATCCACTTGCAGATTCTCCAATTGAGTCTTTCAAAACAGCTCTGTAAATAGAAAGGTTCAACACTGTTAGTTGAGGACATACATCACAAACCAGTTTTTGAGAATGCTTTTGTCTAGTTTTTATGGGAAGATATTTCCTTTTTCATCGTAAGCGTCAAAGCGCTCCAAGTGTCCACATCCAGATACTACAAAAAGAGTCTTTCAAACCTGCTCTATGAAAGCGAATGTTCAACTCTGTGACGTGAATGCAGACATCACAAAGCAGTTTCTGAGAATGCTTCTGTCTCGATTTTACATGAAGATATTCCCGTTTCCAACGAAATCTTCAAAGTTATCCGAATATCCACTTGCAGATTCTACAAAAAGAGTGTTTCCAAACTGCTGTATCAAAAGAGAGGTTCAAATCTGTTAGTTGAGGACACACATCACAAATAAGTTTCTGAGAATGCTTCTGTCTAGTTTTTATGGGAAGATATTTCCTTTTTCACCATAGGCCAGAAAGCCCTCGAAATGTCCCCTTCCAGATACCACAGAAAGAGTGTTTCAAACCTGCTCTATGAAAGGGAATGCTCAACTCTGTGACTTAAAAGCAAACATCACAGAGAAGCTTCTGAGAATGCTACTGTCTACTTTGTATATGTAATCCCGTTTCCAACGAAATCCTGAAAGCTATCCAAATATCAACCTGCAGATTCCAAGAAAAGACGGTTTCAAACCTGCTCTAAGAAAGGGAATATTCAACTCTGTGACTTGAATGCAGATATCACAAAGTAGTTTCTGAGAGTGCTTCTGTCTAGATTTTATATGAAGATATTCCCGTTTCCAACGAAATACTTCGAGCTATCCAAATATCCCCTTGCATATTCTACAAAAAGAGTATTTCCAAACTTCTGTATCATAAGAGAGGTTGAACTCTGTTAGTTGAGGACACACATCACAAAGAAGTTTCTGAGAATGCTTCTGTCTGGTTTTTATGGGAAGATATTTCCTTTTTCACCAAAGGCGTCAAAGCGCTCCAAATGTCCACTTCCAGATAATACAAAGGAGTGTTTCAAACCTGCTCTAATAAAGGGAATGTTCAACTCTGTGACTTGAATGCACATATCACAAAGCAGTTTCTGAGAGTGCCTCTGTCTAGATTTTATACTAAAGTATTCCCGTTTCCAACGAAATCGTTAGAGCTATCCAAATATCCACTTGCAGATTCTACAGAAAGAGTGTTTCAATACTGCTGTATCAAAAGACAGGTTGTACTCTGTTAGCTGAGGACATACATCCCAAACCAGTTTGTGAGAATGCTTCTGTCAAGTTTTTATGGGAAGATATTTCCTTGTTCACCATAGGCCTAAAAGCGCTCGAAATGTCCTCTTCCAGATACTACAGAAAGAGTGTTTGAAACCTGCTCTATGAAAGGGAATGTTCAACTCTGTGACTTAAAAGCAAACATCACACAGCAGCTTCTGAGAATGCTGCTATCTACTTTGTACATGTAATCCCTTTTCCAACGAAATCCTCAAAGCTATCCAAATATCCTCCTGCAGATTCCACGAAAAGACGGTTTCAAACCTGCTCTAAGAAAGGGAATATTCAACTCTGTGACTTGAATACAGATATCACAAAGTAGTTTCTGAGAGTGCTTCTGTCTAGAGTTTATATGAAGCTATTCCCGTTTCCAACGAAATAGCTTGAGCTATCCAACTATCCACTTGCAGATTCTACAGAAAGAGTGTTTCCAAACTGCTGTATCGAAAGACAGGTTGTACTCTGTTACTTGAGGACACACATCACAAAGTAGTTTCTGAGAAGGCCCTTGTCGAGATTTTACCTGAAGATATTCCGGTTTCCAATGAAATCCTTAAAGCTTTCCAAATATCCACTTGCAGATTCTCCAATAGAGTCTTTCAAAACTGCTCTGTAAATAGAAAGTTTCAACTCTGTTAGTTGAGGACATACATCACAAACCAGTTTGTGAGAATGCTTCTGTCTAGTTTTTATGGGAAGATATTTCCTTTTTCATCGTAAGCGTCAAAGCGCTCCAAGTGTCCACATCCAGATACTACAGAAAGAGTCTTTCAAACCTGCTCTATGAAAGCGAATGTTCAACTCTGTGACGTGAATGCAGACATCACAAAGCAGTTTCTGAGAATGCTTCTGTCTCGATTTTACATGAAGATATACCCGTTTCCAACGAAATCTTCAAAGTTATCCAAATATCCACTTGCAGATTCTACAAAAAGAGTGTTTCCAAACTCCTGTATCAAAAGAAAGGTTCAACTCTGTTAGTTGAGGACACACATCACAAATAAGTTTCTGAGAATGCTTCTGTCTAGTTTTTATGGGAAGATATTTCCTTTTTCACCATAGGCCTGAAAGCCCTCGAAATGTCCACTTCCAGATACTACAGAAAGAGTGTTTCAAACCTGCTCTATGAAAGGGAATGCTCAACTCTGTGACTTAAATGCAAACATCACAGAGAAGCTTCTGAGAATGCTACTGTCTACTTTGTATATGTAATCCCGTTTCCAAAGATGTCGTGAAAGCTATCCAAATATCCACCTGCAGATTCCAAGAAAAGACGGTTTCAACCCTGCTCTAAGAAAGGGAATATTCAACTCTGTGACTTGAATGCAGATATCACAAAGTACTTTCTGAGAGTGCTTCTGTCTAGATTTTATATGAAGTTATTCCCGTTTCCAACGAAATTCTTCGAGCTATCCAAATATCCCCTTGCATGTTCTACAGAAAGAGTGTTTCCAAACTTCTGTATCATAAGAGAGGTTGAACTCTGTTAGTTGAGGACACACATCACAAAGAAGTTTCTGGGAATGTTTCTGTCTAGTTTTGAAGAGAAGATATTTCCTTTTTCAGCAAAGGCGTCAAAGCGCTCCAAATGTCCACTTCCAGATACTACAAAAACAGTGTTTCAAACCTGCTCTAATAAAGGGAATGTTCAACTCTGTGACTTGAATGCACATATCACAGAGCAGTTTCTGAGAGTGCCTCTGTCTAGATTTTATACTAAAGTATTCCCGCTTCCAACGAAATTGTTAGGGCTATCCAAATATACACTTGCAGATTCTACAGAAAGAGTGTTTCAATACTGCTCTATCAAAAGACAGGCTGTACTCTGTTAGCTGAGGACATACATCCCAAACCAGTTTGTGAGAATGCTTCTCTCAAGTTTGTATGGGAAGATATTTCCTTGTTCACCATAGGCCTGAAAGCGCTCGAAATGTCCTCTTCCAGATACTACAGAAAGAGTGTTTGAATCCTGCTCTCTGAAAGGGAATGTTCAACTCTGTGACTTAAAAGCAAACATCACAAAGCAGCTTCTGAGAATGCTGCTGTCTACTTTGTATATGTAATCCCGTTTCCGACGAAATCCCCAAAGCTATCCAAATATCCTCCTGCAGATTCCACGAAAAGACGCTTTCAAACCTGCTCTAAGAAAGGGAATATTCAACTCTGTGACTTGAATACAGATATCACAAAGTAGTTTCTGAGAGTGCTTCTGTCTAGAGTTTATATGAAGCTATTCCCGCTTCCAACGAAATAGCTTGAGCTATCCAAATACCCACTTGCAGATTCTACAGAAAGAGTGTTTCCAAACTGCTGTATCAAAAGACTGGTTGTACTCTGTTACTTGAGGACACACATCACAAAGAAGTTTCTGAGAATGCCGTTGTCGAGATTTTACCTGAAGATATTCCGGTTTACAATGAAATCCTTAAAGCTTTCCAAATATCCACTTGCAGATTCTCCAATAGAGTCTTTCAAAACAGCTCTGTAAATAGAAAGGTTCAACTCTGTTAGCTGAGGACATACATCACAAACCAGTTTGTGAGAATGCTTCTGTCTAGTTTTTATGGGAAGATATTTCCTTTTGCACCGTAAGAGTCAAAGCGCTCCAAGTGTCCACATCCAGATACTACAGTAAGAGTGTTTCAAACCTGCTCTATGAAAGCGAATGTTCAACTCTGTGACGTGAATGCAGACATCACAAAGCAGTTTCTGAGAATGCTTCTGTCTCGATTTTACATGAAGATATTCCCGTTTCCAACGAAATCTTCAAAGTTATCCAAATATCCACTTGCAGATTCTACAAAAAGAGTGTTTCCAAACTGCTGTATCAAAAGAAAGGTTCAACTCTGTTAGTTGAGGACATACATCACAAATAAGTTTCTGAGAATGCTTCTGTCTAGTTTTTATGGGAAGATATTTCCTTTTTCACCATAGGCCTGAAAGCCCTCGAAATGTCCACTTCCAGATACTACAGAAAGAGTGTTTCAAACCTGCTCTATGAAAGGGAATGCTCAACTCTGTGACTTAAAAGCAAACATCACAGAGAAGCTTCTGAGAATGCTACTGTCTACTTTGTATATGTAATCCCGTTTCCAACGAATTCCTGAAAGCTATCCAAATATCCTCCTGCAGATTCCACGAAAAGACGGTTTCAAACCTGCTCTAAGAAAGGGAATGTTCGACTCTGTGACTTGAATGCAGATATCACAAAGTAGTTTCTGAGAGTGCTTCTGTCTAGATTTTATATGAAGATATTACCGTCTCCAACGAAATACTTCCAGCTATCCAAATATCCTCTGGCATATTCTCCAAAAAGAGTGTTTCCAAACGTCTGTATCATAAGAGAGGTTGAACTCTGTTAGTTGAGGACACACGTCACAAAGAAGTTTCTGAGAATGCTTCTGTCTAGTTTTGAAGAGAAGATATGTCCTTTTTCAGCAAAGGCGTCAAAGCGCTCCAAATGTCCACTTCCAGATACTACAAAAAGAGTGTTTCAAACCTGCTCTAATAAAGGGAATGTTCAACTCTGTGACTTGAATGCACATATCACAGAGCAGTTTCTGAGAGTGCCTGTGTCTAGATTTTATACTAAAGTATTCTCGTTTCCAACGAAATCGTTAGAGCTATCCAAATATCCACTTGCAGATTCTACAGAAAGTGTGTTTCAATACTGCTGTATCAAAAGACAGGTTGTACTCTGTTAGCTGAGGACATACATCCCAAACCAGTTTGTGAGAATGCTTCTCTCAAGTTTGTATGGGAAGATATTTCCTTGTTCACCATAGGCCTGAAAGCGCTCGAAATGTCCTCTTCCAGATACTACAGAAAGAGTGTTTGAATCCTGCTCTCTGAAAGGGAATGTTCAACTCTGTGACTTAAAAGCAAACATCACAAAGCAGCTTCTGAGAATGCTGCTGTCTACTTTGTATATGTAATCCCGTTTCCGACGAAATCCCCAAAGCTATCCAAATATCCTCCTGCAGATTCCACGAAAAGACGGTTTCAAACCTGCTCTAAGAAAGGGAATATTCAACTCTGTGACTTGAATACAGATATCACAAAGTAGTTTCTGAGAGTGCTTCTGTCTAGAGTTTATAGGAAGCTATTCCCGTTTCCAACGAAATAGCTTCAGCTATCCAAATATCCACTTGTAGATTCTACAGAAAGAGTGTTTCCAAACTGCTGTACCAAAAGACAGGTTGTACTCTGTTACTTGAGGACACACATCACAAAGAAGTTTCTGAGAATGCCCTTGTCGAGATTTTACCTGAAGATATTCCGGTTTCCAATGAAATCCTTAAAGCTTTCCAAATATCCACTTGCAGATTCTCCAATAGAGTCTTTCAAAACAGCTCTGTAAATAGAAAGGTTCAACTCTGTTAGCTGAGGACATACATCACAAACCAGTTTGTGAGAATGCTTCTGTCTAGTTTTTATGGGAAGATATTTCCTTTTGCACCGTAAGCGTCAAAGCGCTCCAAGTGTCCACATCCAGATACTACAGAAAGAGTGTTTCAAACCTGCTCTATGAAAGCGAATGTTCAACTCTGTGACGTGAATGCAGACATCACAAAGCAGTTTCTGAGAGTACTTCTGTCTCGATTTTACATGAAGATTTTCCCGTTTCCAACGAAATCTTCAAAGTTATCCAAATATCCACTTGCAGATTCTACAAAAAGAGTGTTTTCAAACTGCTGTATCAAAAGAAAGGTTCAACTCTGTTAGTTGAGGACACACATCACAATAAGTTTCTGAGAATACTTCTGTCTAGTTTTTATGGGAAGATATTTCCTTTTTCACCATACGCCTGAAAGCCCTCGAAATGTCCACTTCCAGATACTACAGAAAGAGTGTTTCAAACCTGCTCTATGAAAGGGAATGCTCAACTCTGTGACTTAAAAGCAAACATCACAGAGAAGCTTCTGAGAATGCTACTGTCTACTTTGAATATGGAATCCCATTTCCAACGAAATCCTGAAAGCTATCCAAATATCCACCTGCAGATTCCAAGAAAAGACGGTTTCAAACCTGCTCTCAGAAACGGAATATTCAACTGTGACTTGAATGCAGTTATCACAAAGTAGTTTCTGAGAGTGCTTCTGTGTAGATTTTATATGAAGGTATTCCCGTTTCCAACGATATTCTTCGAGCTATCCAAATATCCCCTTGCATGTTCTACAGAAAGAGTGTTTCCAAACTTCTGTATCATAAGAGAGGTTGAACTCTGTTAGTTGAGGACACACATCACAAAGAAGTTTCTGAGAATGCTTCTGTCTAGTTTTTATGGGAAGATATTTCCTTTTTCACCAAAGGCGTCAAAGCGCTCCAAATGTCCACTTCCAGATACTACAAAAAGAGTTTTTCAAACCGGCTCCAATAAAGGGAATGTTCAACTCTGTGACTTGAATGCACATATCACAAAGCAGTTTCTGAGAGTGCCTCTGTCTAGATTTTATACTAAAGTATTCCCGTTTCCAAAGAAATCGTTAGAGCTATCCAAATATCCACTTGCAGATTCTACAGAAAGAGTGTTTCAATACTGCTGTATCAAAAGACAGGTTGTACTCTGTTAGCTGAGGACATACATCCCAAACAAGTTTGTGAGAATGCTTCTGTCAAGTTTCTATGGGAAGATATTTCCTTGTTCACCATAGGCCTGAAAGCGCTCGAAATGTCCTCTTCCAGATACTACAGAAAGAGTGTTTGAAACCTGCTCTATGAAAGTGAATGTTCAACTCTGTGACTTAAAAGCAAACATCACAAAGCAGCTTCTGAGAATGCTGCTGTCTACTTTGTATATGTAATCCCGTTTCCAACGAAATCCTCAAAGCTATCCAAATATCCTCCTGCAGATTCCACGAAAAGACGGTTTCAAACCTGCTCTAAGAAAGGGAATATTCAACTCTGTGACTTGAATACAGATATCACAAAGTAGTTTCTGACAGTGCTTCTGTCTAGAGTTTATATGAAGCTATTCCCGTTTCCAACGAAATAGCTTGAGCTATCCGAATATCGACTTGCAGATTCTACAGAAAGAGTGTTTCCAAACTGCTGTATCAAAACACAGGTGGTACTCTGTTACTTGAGGACACACATCACAAATGAGTTTCTGAGAATGCCCTTGTCTAGGTTTTACCTGAAGATATTCCGGTTTCCAATGAAATCCTTAAAGCTTTCCAAATATCCACTTTCAGGTTCTCCAATTGAGTCTTTCAAAACTGGTCTGTAAACAGAAAGGTTCAACTCTGTTAGCTGAGGACATACATCACAAACCAGTTTGTGAGAATGCTTCTGTCTAGTTTTTATGGGAAGATATTTCCTTTTGCACCGTAAGCGTCAAAGCGCTCCAAGTGTCCACATCCAGATACTGCAGAAAGAGTGTTTCAAACCTGCTCTATGAAAGCGAATGTTCAACTGTGTGACGTGAATGCAGACATCACAAAGCTGTTTCTGAGAATGCTTCTGTCTCGATTTTACATGAAGATTTTCCCGTTTCCAACGAAATCTTCAAAGTTATCCAAATATCCACTTGCAGATTCTACAAAAAGAGTGTTTTCAAACTGCTGTATCAAAAGAAAGGTTCAACTCTGTTAGTTGAGGACACACATCACAATAAGTTTCTGAGAATACTACTGTCTAGTTTTTATGGGAAGATGTTTCCTTTTTCAACGTAGCCCTGAAAGCGCTCGAAATGTCCACTTTCAGATACTACAGAAAGAGTGTTTCAAACCTGCTCTATGAATGGGAATGTTCAACTCTGTGACTTGAATGCAGATATCACAAAGTAGTTTCTGAGAGTGCTACTGTCTACTTTGTATATGTAATCCCGTTTCCAACGAAATCCTGAAAGCTATCCAAATATCCACCTGCAGATTCCAAGAAAAGACGGTTTCAAGCCTGCTCTAAGAAAGGGAATATTCAACTCTGTGACTTGAATGCAGATAGCACAAAGTAGTTTCTGAGAGTGCTTCTGTCTAGATTTTATATGAAGATATTCCCGTTTCCAACGAAATACTTCGAGCTATCCAAATATCCCCTTGCATATACTACAAAAAGAGTGTTTCCAAGCTTCTGTATCATAAGAGAGGTTGAACTCTGTTAGTTGAGGACACACATCACAAAGAAGTTTCTGGGAATGTTTCTGTCTAGTTTTGAAGAGAAGATATTTCCTTTTTCAGCAAAGGCGTCAAAGCGCTCCAAATGTCCACTTTCAGATACTACAAAAAGAGTGTTTCAAACCTGCTCTAATAAAGGGAATGTTCAACTCTGTGACTTGAATGCACATATCACAGAGCAGTTTCTGAGAGTGCCTGTGTCTAGATTTTATACTAAAGTATTCTCGTTTCCAACGAAATCGTTAGAGCTATCCAAATATCCACTTGCAGATTCTACAGAAAGTGTGTTTCAATACTGCTGTATCAAAAGACAGGTTGTACTCTGTTAGCTGAGGACATACATCCCAAACCAGTTTGTGAGAATGCTTCTCTCAAGTTTGTATGGGAAGATATTTCCTTGTTCACCATAGGCCTGAAAGCGCTCGAAATGTCCTCTTCCAGATACTACAGAAAGAGTGTTTGAATCCTGCTCTCTGAAAGGGAATGTTCAACTCTGTGACTTAAAAGCAAACATCACAAAGCAGCTTCTGAGAATGCTGCTGTCTACTTTGTATATGTAATCCCGTTTCCGACGAAATCCCCAAAGCTATCCAAATATCCTCCTGCAGATTCCACGAAAAGACGCTTTCAAACCTGCTCTAAGAAAGGGAATATTCAACTCTGTGACTTGAATACAGATATCACAAAGTAGTTTCTGAGAGTGCTTCTGTCTAGAGTTTATAGGAAGCTATTCCCGTTTCCAACGAAATAGCTTCAGCTATCCAAATATCCACTTGTAGATTCTACAGAAAGAGTGTTTCCAAACTGCTGTATCAAAAGACAGGTTGTACTCTGTTACTTGAGGACACACATCACAAAGAAGTTTGCTGAGAATGCCTCTGTCTAGAGTTTACCTGAAGATATTCCGGTTTCCAAGGAAATCCTTAAAGCTTTCCAAATATCCACTTGCAGATTCTCCAATTGAGTCTTTCAAAACTGCTCTGTAAATAGAAAGGTTCAACTCTGTTAGTTGAGGACATACATCACAAACCAGTTTGTGAGAATGCTTCTGTCTAGTTTTTATGGGAAGATATTTCCTTTTGCACCGTAAGCGTCAAACCGCTCCAAGTGTCCACATCCAGATACTGCAGAAAGAGTGTTTCAAACCTGCTCTATGAAAGCGAATGTTCAACTCTGTGACGTTAATGCAGACATCACAAAGCTGTTTCTGAGAATGCTTCTGTCTCGATTTTACATGAAGATATTCCCGTTTCCAACGAAATCTTCAAAGTTATCCAAATATCCACTTGCAGATTCTACAAAAAGAGTGTTTCCAAACTGCTGTATCAAAAGAAAGGTTCAACTCCGTTAGTTGAGGACATACCTCACAAATAAGTTTCTGAGAATGATTCTGTCTAGTTTTTATGGGAAGATATTTCCTTTTTCACCATAGGCCTGAAAGCCCTCGAAATGTCCACTTCCAGATACTACAGAAAGAGTGTTTCAAACCTGCTCTATGAAAGGGAATGCTCAACTCTGTGACTTAAATGCAAACATCACAGAGAAGCTTCTGAGAATGCTACTGTCTACTTTGTATATGGAATCCCGTTTCCAACGAAATCCTGAATGCTATCGAAATATCCACCTGCAGACTCCAAGAAAAGACGGTTTCAAACCTGCTCTCAGAAAGGGAATATTCAACTCTGACTTGAATGCAGTTATCACAAAGTAGTTTCTGAGAGTGCTTCTGTCTAGATTTTATATGAAGATATTCCCGTTTCCAACGAAATACTTCGAGCTATCCAAATATCCCCTTGCATATACTACAAAAAGAGTGTTTCCAAACTTCTGTATCATAAGAGAGGTTGAACTCTGTTAGTTGAGGGCACACATCACAAAGAAGTTTCTGGGAATGCTTCTGTCTAGTTTTGAAGAGAAGATATTTCCTTTTTCAGCAAAGGCGTCAAAGCGCTCCAAATGTCCACTTCCAGATACTACAAAAACAGTGTTTCAAACCTGCTCTAATAAAGGGAATGTTCAACTCTGTGACTTGAATGCACATATCACAGAGCAGTTTCTGAGAGTGCCTCTGTCTAGATTTTATATTAAAGTATTCCCGTTTCCAACGAAATCGTTAGAGCTATCCAAATATCCACTTGCAGATTCTACAGAAAGAGTGTTTCAATACTGCTCTATCAAAAGACAGGTTGTACTCTGTTAGCTGAGGACATACATCCCAAACCAGTTTGTGGGAATGCTTCTGTCAAGTTTGTATGGGAAGATATTTCCTTGTTCACCGTAGGCCTGAAAGCGCTCGAAATGTCCTCTTCCAGATACTACAGAAAGAGTGTTTGAATCCTGCTCTCTGAAAGGGAATGTTCAACTCTGTGACTTAAAAGCAAACATCAGAAAGCAGCTTCTGAGAATGCTGCTGTCTGCTTTGTATATGTAATCCCGTTTCCGACGAAATCCCCAAAGCTATCCAAATATCCTCCTGCAGATTCCACGAAAAGACGGTTTCAAACCTGCTCTAAGAAAGGGAATATTCAACTCTGTGACTTGAATACAGATATCACAAAGTAGTTTCTGAGAGTGCTTCTGTCTAGAGTTTATATGAAGCTATTCCCGTTTCCAACGAAATAGCTTGAGCTATCCAAATATCCACTTGTAGATTCTACAGAAAGAGTGTTTCCAAACTGCTGTATCAAAAGACAGGTTGTACTCTGTTACTTGAGGACACACATCACAAAGAAGTTTCTGAGAATGCCTCTGTCTAGATTTTACCTGAAGATATTCCGGTTTCCAAAGAAATCCTTAAAGCTTTCCAAATATCCACTTGTAGATTCTCCAATAGAGTCTGTCAAAACTGCTCTGTAAATAGAAAGATGCAACTCTGTTAGTTGAGGACATACATCAGAAACTAGTTTGTGAGAATGCTTCTGTCTAGTTTTTAAGGGAAGATATTTCCTTTTTCACCATAAGCGTCAAAGCGCTCCAAGGGTCCACATCCAGATACTACAGAAAGAGTGTTTCAATTCTGCTCTATGAAAGCGAATGTTGAACTCTGTGACGTGAATGCAGACATCAGAAAACACTTTCTGAGAATGCTTCTGTCTCGATTTTACATGAAGATATTCCCGTTTCCAACGAAATCTTCAAAGTTATCCAAATATCCACTTGCAGATTCTACAAAAAGAGTGTTTCCAAACTGCTGTATCAAAAGAAAGGTTCAACTCCGTTAGTTGAGGACATACATCACAAATAAGTTTCTGAGAATGATTCTGTCTAGTTTTTATGGGAAGATATTTCCTTTTTCACCATAGGCCTGAAAGCGCTCGAAATGTCCACTTCCAGATACTACAGAAAGAGTGTTTCAAACCTGCTCTATGAAAGGGAATGTTCAACTCTGTGACTTAAAAGCAAACATCACAGAGAAGCTTCTGAGAATGCTACTGTCTACTCTGTATATGTAATCCCGTTTCCAAAGAAATCCTGAAAGCTATCCAAATATCCACCTGCAGATTCCAAGAAAAGACGGTTTCAACCCTGCTCTGAGAAAGGGAATATTCAACTCTGTGACTTGAATGCAGATAGCACAAAGTAGTTTCTGAGAGTGCTTCTGTCTAGATTTTATATGAAGGTATTCCCGTTTCCAACGAAATTCTTCGAGCTATCCAAATATCCCTTGCATGTTCTACAGAAAGAGTGTTTCCAAACTTCTGTATCATAAGAGAGGTTGAACTCTGTTAGTTGAGGACACACATCACAAAGAAGTTTCTGAGAATGCTTCTGTCTAGTTTTGAAGAGAAGATATTTCCTTTTTCAGCAAAGGCGTCAAAGCGCTCCAAATGTCCACTTCCAGATACTACAAAAAGAGTGTTTCAAACCTGCTCTAATAAAGGGAATGTTCAACTCTGTGACTTGAATGCACATATCACAGAGCAGTTTCTGAGAGTGCCTCTGTCTAGATTTTATACTAAAGTATTCCCGTTTCCAACGAAATCGTTAGAGCTATCCAAATATCCACTTGCAGATTCTACAGAAAGAGTGTTTCAATACTGCTGTATCAAAAGACAGGTTGTACTCTGTTAGCTGAGGACATACATCCCAAACCAGTTTGTGAGAATGCTTCTGTCAAGTTTGTATGGGAAGATATTTCCTAGTTCACCATAGGCCTGAAAGCGCTCGAAATGTCCTCTTCCAGATACTACAGAAAGAGTGTTTGAAACCTGCTCTCTGAAAGGGAATGTTCAACTCTGTGACTTAAAAGCAAACATCACAAAGCAGCTTCTGAGAATGCTGCTGTCTACTTTGTATATGTAATCCCGTTTCCGACGAAATCCCCACAGCTATCCAAATATCCTCCTGCAGATTCCACGAAAAGACGGTTTCAAACCTGCTCTAAGAAAGGGAATATTCAACTCTGTGACTTGAATACAGATATCACAAAGTAGTTTCTGAGAGTGCTTCTGTCTAGAGTTTATATGAAGATATTCCCGTTTCCAACGAAATAGCTTGAGCTATCCAACTATCCACTTGCAGATCCTACAGAAAGAGTGTTTCCAAACTGCTGTATCAAAAGACAGGTTGTACTCTGTTACTTGAGGACACACATCACAAAGAAGTTTCTGAGAATGCCTCTGTCTAGATTTTACCTGAAGATATTCCGGTTTCCAAGGAAATCCTTAAAGCTTTCCAAATATCCACTTGCAGATTCTCCAATTGAGTCTTTCAAAACTGCTCTGTAAATAGAAAGGTTCAACTCCGTTAGTTGAGGACATACATCACAAACCAGTTTGTGAGAATGCTTCTGTCTAGTTTTTATGGGAAGATATTTCCTTTTTCACCGTAAGCGTCAAAGCGCTCCAAGTGTCCACATCCAGATACTACAGAAAGAGTCTTTCAAACCTGCTCTATGAAAGCGAATGTTCAACTCTGTGACGTGAATGCACACATCACAAAGCAGTTTCTTTGAATGCTTCTGTCTCGATTTTACATGAAGATATTCCCGTTTCCAACGAAATCTTCAAAGTTATCCAAATATCCACTTGCAGATTCTACAAAAAGAGTGTTTCCAAACTGCTGTATCAAAAGAAAGGTTCAACTCTGTTGGTTGAGGTCATACATCACAAATAAGTTTCTGAGAATGCTTCTGTCTAGTTTTTATGGGAAGATATTTCCTTTTTCACCATAGGCCTGAAAGCCCTCGAAATGTCCACTTCCAGATACTACAGAAAGAGTGTTTCAAACCTGCTCTATGAAAGGGAATGCTCAACTCTGTGACTTAAAAGCAAACATCACAGTGAAGCTTCTGAGAATGCTACTGTCTACTCTGTGTATGTAATCCCGTTTCCAAAGAAATCCTGAAAGCTATCCAAATATCCACCTGCAGATTCCAAGAAAAGACGGTTTCAACCCTGCTCTAAGAAAGGGAATATTCAACTCTGTGACTTGAATGCAGATAGCACAAAGTAGTTTCTGAGAGTGCTTCTGTCTAGATTTTATATGAAGATATTCCCGTTTCCAAAGAAATACTTCGAGCTATCCAAATATCCCCTTGCATATACTACAAAAAGAGTGTTTCCAAACTTCTGTATCATAAGAGAGGTTGAACTCTGTTAGTTGAGGACACACATCACAAAGAAGTTTCTGGGAATGCTTCTGTCTAGTTTTGAAGAGAAGATATTTCCTTTTTCAGCAAAGGCGTCAAAGCGCTCCAAATGTCCACTTCCAGATACTACAAAAACAGTGTTTCAAACCTGCTCTAATAAAGGGAATGTTCAACTCTGTGACTTGAATGCACATATCACAGAGCAGTTTCTGAGAGTGCCTGTGTCTAGATTTTATACTAAAGTATTCTCGTTTCCAACGAAATCGTTAGAGCTATCCCAATATCCACTTGCAGATTCTACAGAAAGTGTGTTTCAATACTGCTGTATCAAAAGACAGGTTGTACTCTGTTAGCTGAGGACATACATCCCAAACCAGTTTGTGAGAATGCTTCTGTCAAGTTTGTATGGGAAGATATTTCCTTGTTCACCATAGGCCTGAAAGCGCTCGAAACGTCCTCTTCCAGATACTACAGAAAGAGTGTTTGAAACCTGCTCTCTGAAAGGGAATGTTCAACTCTGTGACTTAAAAGCAAACATCACAAAGCAGCTCCTGAGAATGCTGCTGTCTACTTTGTATATGTAATCCCGTTTCCGACGAAATCCCCAAAGCTATCCAAATATCCTCCTGCAGATTCCACGAAAAGACGGTTTCAAACCTGCTCTAAGAAAGGGAATATTCAACTCTGTGACTTGAATACAGATATCACAAAGTAGTTTCTGAGAGTGCTTCTGTCTAGAGTTTATATGAAGATATTCCCCTTTCCAACGAAATAGCTTGAGCTATCCAACTATCCACTTGCAGATTCTACAGAAAGAGTGTTTCCAAACTGCTGTATCTAAAGACAGGTTGTACTGTGTTACGTGAGGACACACATCACAAAGAAGTTTCTGAGAATGCCCCTTGTCGAGATTTTACCTGAAGATATTCCGGTTTCCAATGAAATCCTTAAAGCTTTCCAAATATCCACTTGCAGATTCTCCAATAGAGTCTTTCAAAACAGCTCTGTAAATAGAAAGGTTCAACTCTGTTAGCTGAGGACTCACATCACAAACCAGTTTGTGAGAATGCTTCTGTCTAGTTTTAATGGGAAGATATTTCCTTTTGCACCGTAAGCGTCAAAGCGCTCCAAGTGTCCACATCCAGATACTGCAGAAAGAGTGTTTCAAACCTGCGCTATGAAAGCGAATGTTCAACTGTGTGACGTGAATGCAGACATCACAAAGCTGTTTCTGAGAATGCTTCTGTCTCGATTTTACATGAAGATATTCCCGTTTCCAAAGAAATCTTCAAAGTTATCCAAATATCCACTTGCAGATTCTACAAAAAGTGTTTCCAAACTGCTGTATCAAAAGAAAGGTTCAACTCTGTTAGTTGAGGACACACATCACAAATAAGTTTCTGAGAATGCTTCTGTCTAGTTTTTATTGGAAGATATTTCCTTTTTCACCATAGGCCTGAAAGCCCTCGAAATGTCCACTTCCAGATACTACAGAAAGAGTGTTTCAAACCTGCTCTATGAAAGGGAATGCTCAACTCTGTGACTTAAAAGCAAACATCACAGAGAAGCTTCTGAGAATGCTACTGTCTACTTTGTATATGTAATCCCGTTTCCAACGAAATCCTGAAAGCTATCCAAATATCCACCTGCAGATTCCAAGAAAAGACGGTTTCAACCCTGCTCTAAGAAAGGGAATATTCAACTCTGTGACTTGAATGCAGATAGCACAAAGTAGTTTCTGAGAGTGCTTCTGTCTAGATTTTATATGAAGGTATTCCCGTTTCCAACGAAATTCTTCGAGCTATCCAAATATCCCCTTGCATGTTTTACAGAAAGAGTGTTTCCAAACTTCTGTATCATAAGAGAGGTTGAACTCTGTTAGTTGAGGGCACACATCACAAAGAAGTTTCTGAGAATGCTTCTGTCTAGTTTTGAAGAGAAGATATTTCCTTTTTCAGCAAAGGCGTCAAAGCGCTCCAAATGTCCACTTCCAGATACTACAAAAACAGTGTTTCAAACCTGCTTTAATAAAGGGAATGTTCAACTCTGTGACTTGAATGCACATATCACAGAGCAGTTTCTGAGAGTGCCTGTGTCTAGATTTTATACTAAAGTATTCCCGTTTCCAACGAAATCGTTAGAGCTATCCAAATATCCACTTGCAGATTCTACAGAAAGAGTGTTTCAATACTGCTGTATCAAAAGACAGGTTGTACTCTGTTAGCTGAGGACATACATCCCAAACCAGTTTGTGAGAATGCTTCTGTCAAGTTTGTATGGGAAGATATTTCCTTGTTCACCATAGGCCTGAAAGCGCTCGAAATGTCCTCTTCCAGATACTACAGAAAGAGTGTTTGAAACCTGCTCTCTGAAAGGGAATGTTCAACTCTGTGACTTAAAAGCAAACATCACAAAGCAGCTTCTGAGAATGCTGGTGTCTACTTTGTATATGTAATCCCGTTTCCAGCGAAATCCTCGAAGCTATCCAAATATCCTCCTGCAGATTCCACGAAAATACGGTTTCAAACTTGCTCTAAGAAAGGGAATATTCAACACTGTGTCTTGAATACAGATATCACAAAGTAGTTTCTGAGAGTGCTTCTGTCTAGAGTTTATATGAAGCTATTCCCGTTTCCAACGAAATAGATTCAGCTATCCAAATATCCACTTGTAGATTCTACAGAAAGAGTGTTTCCAAACTGCTGTATCAAAAGACAGGTTGTACTCTGTTACTTGAGGACACACATCACAAAGAAGTTTCTGAGAATGCCCTTGTCGAGATTTTACCTGAAGATATTCCGGTTTCCAATGAAATCCTTAAAGCTTTCCAATTATCCACTTGCAGATTCTCCAATAGAGTCTTTCAAAACAGCTCTGTAAATAGAAAGGTTCAACTCTGTTAGCTGAGAACATACATCACAAACCAGTTTGTGAGAATGCTTTCTGTCTAGTTTTTATGGGAAGATATTTCCTTTTGCACCGTAAGCGTCAAAGCGCTCCGATTGTCCACATCCAGATACTGCAGAAAGAGTGTTTCAAACCTGCTCTATGAAAGCGAATGTTCAACTCTGTGACGTGAATGCAGACATCACAAAGCTGTTTCTGAGAATGCTTCTGTCTCGATTTTACATGAAGATATTCCCGTTTCCAACGAAATCTTCAAAGTTATCCAAATATCCACTTGCAGATTCTACAAAAAGAGTGTTTCCAAACTGCTGTATCAAAAGAAAGGTTCAACTCTGTTAGTTGAGGTCATACATCACAAATAAGTTTCTGAGAATGCTTCTGTCTAGTTTTTATGGGAAGATATTTCCTTTTTCACCATAGGCCTGAAAGCCCTCGAAATGTCCACTTCCAGATACTACAGAAAGAGTGTTTCAAACCTGCTCTATGAAAGGGAATGCTCAACTCTGTGACTTAAAATCAAACATCACAGAGAAACTTCTGAGAATGCTACTGTCTACTTTGTATATGTAATCCCGTTTCCAACGAATTCCTGAAAGCTATCCAAATATCCTCCTGCAGATTCCACGAAAAGACGGTTTCAAACCTGCTCTAAGAAAGGGAATGTTCGACTCTGTGACTTGAATGCAGATATCAAAAAGTAGTTTCTGAGAGTGCTTCTGTCTAGATTTTATATGAAGTTATTCCCGTTTCCAACGAAATTCTTCGAGCTATCCAAATATCCCCTTGCATGTCCTACAGAAAGAGTGTTTCCAAACTTCTGTATCATAAGAGAGGTTGAACTCTGTTAGCTGAGGACACACATCACAAAGAAGTTTCTGAGAATGCTTCTGTCTAGTTTTTATGGGAAGATATTTCCTTTTTCACCAAAGGCGTCAAAGCGCTCCAAATGTCCACTTCCAGATACTACAAAAAGAGTGTTTCAAACCTGCTCCAATAAAGGGAATGTTCAACTCTGTGACTTGAATGCACATATCACAAAGCAGTTTCTGAGAGTGCCTCTGTCTAGATTTTATATTAAAGTATTCCCGTTTCCAACGAAATCGTTAGAGCTATCCAAATATCCACTTGCAGATTCTACAGAAAGAGTGTTTCAATACTGCTCTATCAAAAGACAGGTTGTACTCTGTTAGCTGAGGACATACATCCCAAACCAGTTTGTGGGAATGCTTCTGTCAAGTTTTTATGGGAAGATATTCCCTTGTTCACCATAGGCCTGAAAGCGTTCGAAATGTCCTCTTCCAGATACTACAGAAAGAGTGTTGGAAACCTGCTCTATGAAAGGGAATGTTCAACTCTGTGAGTTAAAAGCAAACATCACACAGCAGCTTCTGAGTATGATGCTGTCTACTTTGTACATGTAATCCCGTTTCCAACGAAATCCTCAAAGCTATCCAAATATCCTCCTGCAGATTCCACGAAAAGACGGTTTCAAACCTGCTCTAAGAAAGGGAATATTCAACTCTGTGACTTGAATACAGATATCACAAAGTAGTTTCTGAGAGTGCTTCTGTCTAGAGTTTATATGAACATATTCCCCTTTCCAACGAAATAGCTTGAGCTATCCAACTATCCACTTGCAGATTCTACATAAAGAGTGTTTCCAAACTGCTGTATCAAAAGACAGGTTGTACTCTGTTACTTGAGGACACACAACACAAACAAGTTTCTGAGAATGCCCTTGTCTAGATGTTACCTGAAGATATTCCGATTTCCAATGAAATCCTTAAAGCTTTCCAAATATCCACATGAAGATTCTCCAATTGAGTCTCTCAAAACTGCTCTGTAAATAGAAAGGTTCAACTCTGTTAGCTGAGGACATACATCACAAACCAGTTTGTGAGAATGCTTCTGTCTAGTTTTTATGGGAAGATATTTCCTTTTTCACCGTAAGCGTCAAAGCGCTCCAAGTGTCCACATCCAGATACTACAGAAAGAGTCTTTCAAACCTGCTCTATGAAAGGGAATGTTCAACTTCTGTGACGTGAATGGAGATATCACAAAGCAGTTTCTGAGAATGTTTCTTTCTCGATTTTACATGAAGATATTCCTGCTTCCAACGAAATCTTCAAAGTTATCCAAATATCCCCTTGCAGATTCTACAAAATGTGTGTTTCCAAACTGCTGTATCAAAAGAAAGGTTCAACTCTGTTAGTTGAGGACACACATCACAAATAAGTTTCTGAGAATGCTTCTGTCTAGTTTTTATGGGAAGATATTTCCTTTTTCACCATAGGCCTGAAAGTGCTCCAAATGTCCACTTCCAGATGCTACAGATAGAGTGTTTCAAACCTGCTCTATGAAAGGGAATGTTCAACTCTGTGACTTAAAGGCAAACATCACACAGAAGCTTCTGAGAATGCTACTGTCTACTTTGTATATGTAATCCCGTTTCCAACGAAATCCTGAAATCTATCCAAATATCAACCTGCAGATTGCAAGAAAAGACGGTTTCAACCCTGCTCTAAGAAAGGGAATATTCAACTCTGTGACTTGAATGCAGATATCACAAAGTAGTTTCTGAGAGTGCTTCTGTCTAGATTTTATATGAAGATATTCCCGTTTCCAACGAAATACTTCGAGCTATCCAAATATCCCCTTGCATATACTACAAAAAGAGTGTTTCCAAGCTTCTGTATCATAAGAGAGGTTGAACTCTGTTAGTTGAGGACACACATCACAAAGAAGTTTCTGGGAATGTTTCTGTCTGGTTTTTTAGGGAAGTTATTTCCTTTTTCACCAAAGGCGTCAAAGCGCTCGAAATGTCCACTTCCAGATACTACAAAAAGAGTGTTTCAAACCTGCTCTAATAAAGGGAATGTTCAACTCTGTGACTTCAATGCACAGATCACAAAGCAGTTTCTGAGAGTGCCTGTGTCTAGATTTTATACTAAAGTATTCCCGTTTCCAACGAAATCGTTAGATCTATCCAAATATCCACTTGCAGATTCTACAGAAAGAGTGTTTCAATACTGCTGTATCAAAAGACAGGTTGTACTCTGTTAGCTGAGGACATACATCCCAAACCAGTTTGTGAGAATGCTTCTGTCAAGTTTGTATGGGAAGATATTTCCTTATTCACCATAGGCCTGAAAGCGCTCGAAATGTCCTCTTCCAGATACTACAGAAAGAGTGTTTGAATCCTGCTCTCTGAAAGGGAATGTTCAACTCTGTGACTTAAAAGCAAACATCACAAAGCAGCTTCTGAGAATGCTGCTGTCTGCTTTGTATATGTAATCCCGTTTCCGACGAAATCCCCAAAGCTATCCAAATATCCTCCTGCAGATTCCACGAAAAGACGGTTTCAAACCTGCTCTAAGAAAGGGAATATTCAACTCTGTGACTTGAATGCAGATAGCACAAAGTAGTTTCGGAGAGTGCTTCTGTCTAGAGTTTATATGAAGCTATTCCCGTTTCCAACGAAATAGCTTGAGCTATCCAAATATCCACTTGCAGATTCTACAGAAAGAATGTTTCCAAACTGCTGTATCAAAAGACCGGTTGTACTCTGTTACTTGAGGACACACATGAGAAAAAGTTTCTGAGAATGCCCTTGTCTAGATTTTACCTGAAGATATTCCGATTTCTAATGAAATCCTTAAAGCTTTCCAAATATCCACTTGCGGATTCTCCAATTGAGTCTTTCAAAACTGCTCTGTAAATAGAAAGGTTCAACTCTGTTAGCTGAGGACATACATCACAAACCAGTTTGTGAGAATGCTTCTGTCTAGTTTTTATGGGAAGATATTTCCTTTTTCACGGTAAGCGTCAAAGCGCTCCAAGTGTCCACATCCAGATACTACAGAAAGAGTCTTTCAAACCTGCTCTATGAAAGCGAATGTTCAACTCTGTGACGTGAATGCAGACATCACAAAGCAGTTTCTGAGAATGCTTCTGTCTCGATTTCACATGAAGATATTCCTGTTTCCAACGAAATCTTCAAAGTTATCCAAATATCCACTTGCAGATTCTACAAAAAGGGTGTTTCCAAACTGCTGTACCAAAAGAAAGGTTCAACTCTGTTACTTGAGGACACATTTCACAAATAAGTTTCTGAGAATGCTTCTGTCTAGTTTTTATGGGAAGATATTTCCTTTTTCACCATAGGCCTGAAAGCCCTCGAAATGTCCACTTCCAGATACTACAGAAAGAGTGTTTCAAACCTGCTCTATGAAAGGGAATGCTCAACTCTGTGACTTAAAAGCAAACATCACAGAGAAGCTTCTGAGAATGCTACTGTCTACTCTGTATATGTAATCCCGTTTCCAAAGAAATCCTGAAAGCTATCCAAATATCCACCTGCAGATTCCAAGAAAAGACGGTTTCAACCCTGCTCTGAGAAAGGGAATATTCAACTCTGTGACTTGAATGCAGATAGCACAAAGTAGTTTCTGAGAGTGCTTCTGTCTAGATTTTATATGAAGATATTCCCGTTTCCAACGAAATACTTCGAGCTATCCAAATATCCCCTTGCATATACTATAAAAAGAGTGTTTCCAAACTACTGTATCATAAGAGAGGTTGAACTCTGTTAGTTGAGGACACACATCACAAAGAAGTTTCTGGGAATGCTTCTGTCTAGTTTTTATGGGAAGATATTTCCTTTTTCACCAAAGGCGTCAAAGCGCTCCAAATGTCCACTTCCAGATACTACAAAAAGAGTGTTTCAAACCTGCTCCAATAAAGGGAATGTTCAACTCTGTGACTTGAATGCACATATCACAAAGCAGTTTCTGAGAGTGCCTCTGTCTAGATTTTATATTAAAGTATTCCCGTTTCCAACGAAATCGTTAGAGCTATCCAAATATCCACTTGCAGATTCTACAGAAAGAGTGTTTCAATACTGCTGTATCAAAAGACAGGTTGTACTCTGTTAGCTGAGGACATACATCCCAAACCAGTTTGTGGGAATGCTTCTGTCAAGTTTTATGGGAAGATAATCCCTTGTTCACCATAGGCCTGAAAGCGCTCGAAATGTCCTCTTCCAGATACTACAGAAAGAGTGTTGGAAACCTGCTCTATGAAAGGGAATGTTCAACTCTGTGACTTAAAAGCAAACATCACACAGCAGCTTCTGAGAATGATGCTGTCTACTTTGTACATGTAATCCCGTTTCCAACGAAATCCTCAAAGCTATCCAAATATCCTCCTGCAGATTCCACGAAAAGACGGTTTCAAACCTGCTGTAAGAAAGGGAATATTCAACTCTGTGACTTGAATACAGATATCACAAAGTAGTTTCTGAGAGTGCTTCTCTCTAGAGTTTATATGAAGCTATTCCCGTTTCCAATGAAATAGCTTGAGTTATCCAAATATACACTTGCATATTCTACAGAAAGAGAGTTTCCAAACTGCTGTATCAAAAGACAGGTTGTACTATGTTACTTGAGGACACACATCACAAAGAAGTTTCTGAGAATGCCCTTGTCTAGATTTTACCTGAAGATATTCCGGTTTCCAAAGAAATCCTTAAAGCCTTCCAAATATCCACTTGCAGATTCTCCAATTGAGTCTTTCAAAACTGGTCTGTAAATAGAAAAATTCAACTCTCTTAGCTGAGGACATACATCACAAACCAGTTTGTGAGAATGCTTCTGTCTAGTTTTTATGGGAAGATATTTCCTTTTGCACCGTAAGAGTCAAAGCGCTCCAAGTGTCCACATCCAGATACTACAGTAAGAGTGTTTCAAACCTGCTCTATGAAAGCGAATGTTCAACTCTGTGACGTGAATGCAGACATCACAAAGCAGTTTCTGAGAATGCTTCTGTCTCGATTTTACATGAAGATATTCCCGTTTCCAACGAAATCTTCAAAGTTATCCAAATATCCACTTGCAGATTCTACAAAAAGAGTGTTTCCAAACTGCTGTATCAAAAGAAAGGTTCAACTCCGTTAGTTGAGGACATACATCACAAATAAGTTTCTGAGAATGATTCTGTCTAGTTTTTATGGGAAGATATTTCCTTTTTCACCATAGGCCTGAAAGCCCTCGAAATGTCCACTTCCAGATACTACAGAAAGAGTGTTTCAAACCTGCTCTATGAAAGGGAATGCTCAACTCTGTGACTTAAAAGCAAACATCACAGAGAAGCTTCTGAGAATGCTACTGTCTAATTTGTATATGTAATCCCGTTTCCAACGAAATCCTGAAAGCTATCCAAATATCAACCTGCAGATTCCAAGAAAAGACGGTTTCAAACCTGCTCTAAGAAAGGGAATATTCAACTCTGTGACTTGAATGCAGATATCACAAAGTAGTTTCTGAGAGTGCTTCTGTCTAGATTTTATATGAAGATATTCCCGTTTCCAACGAAATACTTCGAGCTATCCAAATATCCCCTTGCATATACTACAAAAAGAGTGTTTCCAAACTTCTGTATCATAAGAGAGGTTGAACTCTGTTAGTTGAGGGCACACATCACAAAGAAGTTTCTGGGAATGCTTCTGTCTAGTTTTGAAGAGAAGATATTTCCTTTTTCAGCAAAGGCGTCAAAGCGCTCCAAATGTCCACTTCCAGATACTACAAAAAGAGTGTTTCAAACCTGCTCTAATAAAGGGAATGTTGAACTCTGTGACTTGAATGCACATATCACAGAGCAGTTTCTGAGAGTGCCTGTGTCTAGATTTTATACTAAAGTATTCCCGTTTCCAACGAAATCGTTAGATCTATCCAAATATCCACTTGCAGATTCTACAGAAAGAGTGTTTCAATACTGCTGTATCAAAAGACAGGTTGTACTCTGTTAGCTGAGGACATACATCCCAAACCAGTTTGTGAGAATGCTTCTGTCAAGTTTGTATGGGAAGATATTTCCTAGTTCACCATAGGCCTGAAAGCGCTCGAAATGTCCTCTTCCAGATACTACAGAAAGAGAGTTTGAAACCTGCTCTCTGAAAGGGAATGTTCAACTCTGTGACTTAAAAGCAAACATCACAAAGCAGCTTCTGAGAATGCTGCTGTCTGCTTTGTATATGTAATCCCGTTTCCGACGAAATCCCCAAAGCTATCCAAATATCCTCCTGCAGATTCCACGAAAAGACGGTTTCAAACCTGCTCTAAGAAAGGGAATATTCAACTCTGTGACTTGAATACAGATATCACAAAGTAGTTTCTGAGAGTGCTTCTGTCTAGAGTTTATATGAAGCTATTCCCGTTTCCAACGAAATAGCTTGAGCTATCCAAATATCCACTTGTAGATTCTACAGAAAGAGTGTTTCCAAACTGCTGTATCAAAAGACTGGTTGTACTCTGTTACTTGAGGACACACATCACAAAGAAGTTTCTGAGAATGCCCTTGTCGAGATTTTACCTGAAGATATTCCGGTTTCCAATGAAATCCTTCAAGCTTTCCAAATATCCACTTGCAGATTCTCCAATAGAGTCTTTCAAAACAGCTCTGTAAATAGAAAGGTTCAACTCTGTTAGCTGAGGACATACATCACAATCCAGTTTGTGAGAATGCTTCTGTCTAGTTTTAATGGGAAGATATTTCCTTTTGCACCGTAAGCGTCAAAGCGCTCCAAGTGTCCACATCCAGATACTGCAGAAAGAGTTTTTCAAACCTGCGCTATGAAAGCGAATGTTCAACTCTGTGACGTGAATGCAGACATCACAAAGCTGTTTCTGAGAATGCTTCTGTCTCGATTTTACATGAAGATATTCCCGTTTCCAACGAAATCTTCAAAGTTATCCAAATATCCACTTGCAGATTCTACAAAAAGAGTGTTTCCAAACTGCTGTATCAAAAGAAAGGTTCAACTCTGTTAGTTGAGGACATACATCACAAATAAGTTTCTGAGAATGCTTCTGTCTAGTTTTTAGGGGAAGATATTTCCTTTTTCACCATAGGCCTGAAAGCCCTCGAAATGTCCACTTCCAGATACTACAGAAAGAGTGTTTCAAACCTGCTCTATGAAAGGGAATGCTCAACTCTGTGACTTAAAAGCAAACATCACAGAGAAGCTTCTGAGAATGCTACTGTCTACTTTGTATATGTAATCCCGTTTCCAACGAAATCCTGAAAGCTATCCAAATATCCACCTGCAGATTCCAAGAAAAGACGGTTTCAAGCCTGCTCTAAGAAAGGGAATATTCAACTCTGTGACTTGAATGCAGATAGCACAAAGTAGTTTCTGAGAGTGCTTCTGTCTAGATTTTATATGAAGATATTCCCGTTTCCAACGAAATACTTCGAGCTATCCAAATATCCCCTTGCATATACTACAAAAAGAGTGTTTCCAAGCTTCTGTATCATAAGAGAGGTTGAACTCTGTTAGTTGAGGACACACATCACAAAGAAGTTTCTGGGAATGTTTCTGTCTAGTTTTTATGGGAAGATATTTCCTTTTTCACCAAAGGCGTCAAAGCGCTCCAAATGTCCACTTCCAGATACTACAAAAAGAGTGTTTCAAACCTGCTCCAATAAAGGGAATGTTCAACTCTGTGACTTGAATGCACATATCACAAAGCAGTTTCTGAGAGTGCCTCTGTCTAGATTTTGCATTAAGTTATTCCCGTTTCCAAAGAAATCGTTAGAGCTATCCAAATATCCACTTGCAGATTCTACAGAAAGAGTCTTTCAATACTGCTGTATCAAAAGACAGGTTGTACTCTGTTAGCTGAGGACATACATCCCAAACCAGTTTGTGAGAATGCTTCTGTCAAGTTTTTATGGGAAGATATTTCCTTGTTCACCATATGCCTGAAAGCGCTCGAAATGTCCTCTTCCAGATACTACAGAAAGAGTGTTTGAATCCTGCTCTATGAAAGGGAATGTTCAACTCTCTGACTTAAAAGCAAACATCACACAGCAGCTTCTGAGAATGCTGCTGTCTGCTTTGTATATGTAATCCCGTTTCCGACGAAATCCCCAAAGCTATCCAAATATCCTCCTGCAGATTCCACGAAAAGACGGTTTCAAACCTGCTCTAAGAAAGGGAATATTCAACTCTGTGACTTGAATACAGATATCACAAAGTAGTTTCTGAGAGTGCTTCTGTCTAGAGTTTATATGAAGCTATTCCCGTTTCCAACGAAATAGCTTGAGCTATCCAAATATCCACTTGTAGATTCTACAGAAAGAGTGTTTCCAAACTGCTGTATCAAAAGACAGGTTGTACTCTGTTACTTGAGGACACACATCACAAAGAAGTTTCTGAGAATGCCCTTGTCGAGATTTTACCTGAAGATATTCCGGTTTCCAATGGAATCCTTAAAGCTTTCCAAATATCCACTTGCAGATTCTCCAATAGAGTCTTTCAAAACTGCTCTGTAAATAGAAATGTTCAACTCTGTTAGCTGAGGACATACATCACAAACCAGTTTGTGAGAATGCTTCTGTCTAATTTTTATGGGAAGATATTTCCTTTTGCACCGTAAGCGTCAAAGCGCTCCAACTGTCCACATCCAGATACTGCAGAAAGAATGTTTCAAACCTGCTCTATGAAAGCGAATGTTCAACTCTGTGACGTGAATGCAGACATCACAAAGCTGTTTCTGAGAATGCTTCTGTCTCGATTTTACATGAAGATATTCCCGCTTCCAACGAAATCTTCAAAGTTATCCAAATATCCCCTTGCAGATTCTACAGAAAGTGTGTTTCCAAACTGCTGTATCAAAAGAAACGTTCAACTCTGTTAGTTGAAAACACACATCACAAATAAGTTTCTGAGAATGCTTCTGTCTAGTTTTTAGGGGAAGATATTTCCTTTTTCACCATAGGCCTGAAAGCCCTCGAAATGTCCACTTCCAGATACTACAGAAAGAGTGTTTCAAACCTGCTCTATGAAAGGGAATGCTCAACTCTGTGACTTAAAAGCAAACATCACAGAGAAGCTTCTGAGAATGCTACTGTCTACTTTGTATATGTAATCCCGTTTCCAACGAAATCCTGAAATCTATCCAAATATCAACCTGCAGATTGCAAGAAAAGACGGTTTCAACCCTGCTCTAAGAAAGGGAATATTCAACTCTGTGACTTGAATGCAGATATCACAAAGTAGTTTCTGAGAGTGCTTCTGTCTAGATTTTATATGAAGATATTCCCGTTTCCAACGAAATACTTCGAGCTATCCAAATATCCCCTTGCATATACTACAAAAAGAGTGTTTCCAAACTTCTGTATCATAAGAGAGGTTGAACTCTGTTAGTTGAGGGCACACATCACAAAGAAGTTTCTGGGAATGCTTCTGTCTAGTTTTGAAGAGAAGATATTTCCTTTTTCAGCAAAGGCGTCAAAGCGCTCCAAATGTCCACTTCCAGATACTACAAAAAGAGTGTTTCAAACCTGCTCTAATAAAGGGAATGTTGAACTCTGTGACTTGAATGCACATATCACAGAGCAGTTTCTGAGAGTGCCTGTGTCTAGATTTTATACTAAAGTATTCCCGTTTCCAACGAAATCGTTAGAGCTATCCAAATATCCACTTGCAGATTCTACAGAAAGAGTGTTTCAATACTGCTGTATCAAAAGACAGGTTGTACTCTGTTAGCTGAGGACATACATCCCAAACCAGTTTGTGAGAATGCTTCTGTCAAGTTTTTATGGGAAGATATTTCCTTGTTCACCATAGGCCTGAAAGCGCTCGAAATGTCCTCTTCCAGATACTACAGAAAGAGTGTTTGAAACCTGCTCTCTGAAAGGGAATGTTCAACTCTGTGACTTAAAAGCAAACATCACAAAGCAGCTTCTGAGAATGCTGCTGTCTACTTTGTATATGTAATCCCGTTTCCGACGAAATCCCCAAAGCTATCCAAATATCCTCCTGCAGATTCCACGAAAAGACGGTTTCAAACCTGCTCTAAGAAAGGGAATATTCAACTCTGTGACTTGAATACAGATATCACAAAGTAGTTTCTGAGAGTGCTTCTCTCTAGTAGTTTATATGAAGATATTCCCCTTTCCAATGAAACAGCTTGAGCTATCCAACTATCCACTTGCAGATTCTACAGAAAGAGTGTTTCCAAACTGCTGTATCAAAAGACAGGTTGTACTCTGTTACTTGAGGACACACATCACAAAGAAGTTTCTGAGAATGCCCTTGTCGAGATTTTACGTGAAGATATTCCGGTTTCCAATGAAATCCTTAAAGCTTTCCAAATATCCACTTGCAGATTCTCCAATAGAGTCTTTCAAAACAGCTCTGTAAATAGAAAGGTTCAACTCTGTTAGCTGAGGACATACATCACAAACCAGTTTGTGAGAATGCTTCTGTCTAGTTTTTATGGGAAGATATATCCTTTTACACCGTAAGCGTCAAAGCGCTCCAAGTGTCCACATCCAGATACTGCAGAAAGAGTGTTTCAAACCTGCTCTATGAAAGCGAATGTTCAACTTCTGTGACGTGAATGCAGACACCACAAAGCTGTTTCTGAGAATGCTTCTGTCTCGATTTTACATGAAGATATTCCCGTTTCCAACGAAATCTTCAAAGTTATCCAAATATCCACTTGCAGATTCTACAAAAAGAGTGTTTCCAAACTGCTGTATCAAAAGAAAGGTTCAACTCTGTTGGTTGAGGTCATACATCACAAATAAGTTTCTGAGAATGCTTCTGTCTAGTTTTTATGGGAAGATATTTCCTTTTTCACCATAGGCCTGAAAGCCCTCGAAATGTCCACTTCCAGATACTACAGAAAGAGTGTTTCAAACCTGCTCTATGAAAGGGAATGCTCAACTCTGTGACTTAAAAGCAAACATCACAGTGAAGCTTCTGAGAATGCTACTGTCTACTCTGTATATGTAATCCCGTTTCCAAAGAAATCCTGAAAGCTATCCAAATATCCACCTGCAGATTCCAAGAAAAGACGGTTTCAACCCTGCTCTGAGAAAGGGAATATTCAACTCTGTGACTTGAATGCAGATAGCACAAAGTAGTTTCTGAGAGTGCTTCTGTCTAGATTTTATATGAAGATATTCCCGTTTCCAACGAAATACTTCGAGCTATCCAAATATCCCCTTGCATATACTACAAAAAGAGTGTTTCCAAACTTCTGTATCATAAGAGAGGTTGAACTCTGTTAGTTGAGGACACACATCACAAAGAAGTTTCTGGGAATGCTTCTGTCTAGTTTTGAAGAGAAGATATTTCCTTTTTCAGCAAAGGCGTCAAAGCGCTCCAAATGTCCACTTCCAGATACTACAAAAAGAGTGTTTCAAACCTGCTCTAATAAAGGGAATGTTGAACTCTGTGACTTGAATGCACATATCACAGAGCAGTTTCTGAGAGTGCCTGTGTCTAGATTTTATACTAAAGTATTCCCGTTTCCAACGAAATCGTTAGATCTATCCAAATATCCACTTGCAGATTCTACAGAAAGAGTGTTTCAATACTGCTGTATCAAAAGACAGGTTGTACTCTGTTAGCTGAGGACATACATCCCAAACCAGTTTGTGAGAATGCTTCTGTCAAGTTTGTACGGGAAGATATTTCCTTGTTCACCATATGCCTGAAAGCGCTCGAAATGTCCTCTTCCAGATACTACAGAAAGAGTGTTTGAAACCTGCTCTATGAAAGGGAATGTTCAACTCTGTGACTTAAAAGCAAACATCACAAAGCAGCTTCTGAGAATGCTGCTGTCTACTTTGTATATGTAATCCGGTTTCCAACGAAATCCTCAAAGCTATCCAAATATCCTCCTGCAGATTCCACGAAAAGACGGTTTCAAACCTGATCTAAGAAAGGGAATATTCAACTCTGTGACTTGAATACAGATATCACAAATTAGTTACTGAGAGTGCTTCTGTCTAGAGTTTATATGAAGCTATTCCCGTTTCCAACGAAATAGATTCAGCTATCCAAATATCCACTTGTAGATTCTACAGAAAGAGTGTTTCCAAACTGCTGTATCAAAAGACAGGTTGTACTCTGTTACTTGAGGACACACATCACAAAGAAGTTTCTGAGAATGCCCTTGTCGAGATTTTACCTGAAGATATTCCGGTTTCCAATGAAATCCTTAAAGCTTTCCAATTATCCACTTGCAGATTCTCCAATAGAGTCTTTCAAAACAGCTCTGTAAATAGAAAGGTTCAACTCTGTTAGCTGAGAACATACATCACAAACCAGTTTGTGAGAATGCTTCTGTCTAGTTTTTATGGAAAGATATTTCCTTTTGCACCGTAAGCATCAAAGCGCTCCAAGTGTCCACATCCAGATACTACAGAAAGAGTGTTTCAAACCTGCTCTATGAAAGCGAATGTTCAACTCTGTGACGTGAATGCAGACATCACAAAGCAGTTTCTGAGAATGCTTCTGTCTCGATTTTACATGAAGATATTCCCGTTTCCAACGAAATCTTCAAAGTTATCCAAATATCCACTTGCAGATTATACAAAAAGAGTGTTTCCAAACTGCTGTATCAAAAGAAAGGTTCAACTCTGTTAGTTGAGGTCATACATCACAAATAAGTTTCTGAGAATGCTTCTGTCTAGTTTTTATGGGAAGATATTTCCTTTTTCACCATAGGCCTGAAAGCCCTCGAAATGTCCACTTCCAGATACTACAGAAAGAGTGTTTCAAACCTGCTCTATGAAAGGGAATGCTGAACTCTGTGACTTAAAACCAAACATCACAGAGAAGCTTCTGAGAATGCTACTGTCTACTTTGTATATGTAATCCCCTTTCCAAGGAATTCCTGAAAGCTTTCCAAATATCCGCCTGCAGATTCCAAGAAAAGACGGTTTCAAACCTGCTCTAAGAAAGGGAATGTTCGACTCTGTGACTTGAATGCAGATATCACAAAGTAGTTTCTGAGAGTGCTTCTGTCTAGATTTTATATGAAGATATTCCCGTTTCCAACGAAATACTTCGAGCTATCCAAATATCCCCTTGCATATACTACAAAAAGAGTGTTTCCAAACTTCTGTATCATAAGAGAGGTTGAACTCTGTTAGTTGAGGACACACATCACAAAGAAGTTTCTGGGAATGCTTCTGTCTAGTTTTGAAGAGAAGATATTTCCTTTTTCAGCAAAGGCGTCAAAGCGCTCCAAATGTCCACTTCCAGATACTACAAAAAGAGTGTTTCAAACCTGCTCTAATAAAGGGAATGTTCAACTCTGTGACTTGAATGCACATATCACAGAGCAGTTTCTGAGAGTGCCTGTGTCTAGATTTTATACTAATGTATTCCCGTTTCCAACGAAATCGTTAGAGCTATCCAAATATCCACTCGCAGATTCTACAGAAAGAGTGTTTCAATACTGCTGTATCAAAAGACAGGTTGTACTCTGTTAGCTGAGGACATACATCCCAAACCAGTTTGTGGGAATGCTTCTGAAAAGTTTGTATGGGAAGATATTTCCTTGTTCACCATAGGCCTGAAAGCGCTCGAAATGTCCTCTTCCAGATACTACAGAAAGAGTGTTTGAAACCTGCTCTATAAAAGGGAATGTTCAACTCTGTGACTTAAAAGCAAACATCACAAAGCAGCTTCTGAGAATGCTGCTGTCTACTTTGTATATGTAATCCCGTTTCCAACGAAATCCTCAAAGCTATCCAAATATACTCCTGCAGATTCCACGAAAAGACGGTTTCAAACCTGCTCTAAGAAAGGGAATATTCAACTCTGTGACTTGAATACAGATATCAGAAAGTAGTTTCTGACAGTGCTTCTGTCTAGAGTTTATATGAAGCTATTCCCGTTTCCAACGAAATAGCTTGAGCTATCCGAATATCCACTTGCAGGTTCTACAGAATGAGTGTTTCCAAAATGCTGTATCAAAAGACAGGTTGTACTCTGTTACTTGAGTACACAGGTCACAAAGACGTTTCTGAGAATGCCCTTGTCTAGATGTTACCTGAAGATATTCCGGTTTCCAATGAAATCCTTAAAGCTTTCCAAATATCCACTTGCAGATTCTCCAATTGAGTCTTTCCAAACTGCTCTGTAAATAGAAAGTTTCAACTCTGTTAGCTGAGGACATACATCACAAACCAGTTTGTGAGAATGCTTTTTTTTTTTTTATTATACTCTAAGCTTAGGGTACATGTGCACATTGTGCAGGTTAGTTACATATGTATACATCTGCCATGCTGGTGCGCTGCACCCACTAATGTGTCATCTAGCATTAGGCATATCTCCCAATGCTATCCCTCCCTCCATCCCCCGACCCCACCACATTCCCCAGAGTGTGACATTCCCCTTCCTGTGTCCATGTGATCTCATTGTTCAATTCCCACCTATGAGTGAGAATATGCGGTGTTTCGTTTTTTGTTCTTGCGATAGTTTACTGAGAATGATATTTTCCAATTTCATCCATGTCCCTACAAATGATATGAACACATCATTTTTTATGGCTGCATAGTATTCCATGGTGTATATGGGCCACATTTCCTTAATCCAGTCTATCATTGTTGGACATTTGGGCTGGTTCCAAGTCTTTGCTATTGTGAATAGTGCCGCAATAAACATACGTGTGCATGTGTCTTTATAGCACCATGATTTATAGTCCTTTGGGTATATACCCAGTAATGGGATGGCTGGGTCAAATGGTATTTCTAGTTCTAGATCCCTGAGGAATCGCCACACTGACTTCCACAATGGTTGAACTACTTTACAATCCCAGAAACACTCTTTCTGTAGTATCTTGATGTGGACACTTGGAGCGCTTTGATGCTTACGGTGAAAAAGGAAGTATCTTCCCATAAAAACTACACAGA
>NC_000018.10:20747798-20751369 GCF_000001405.40 Homo sapiens | reverse complement strand
TCTGTCTCGATCTTACATGAAGATATTCCCGCTTCCAACGAAATGTTCAAAGTTATCCAAATATCCACTTGCAGATTCTACAAAAAGAGTGTTTCCAAACTGCTGTATCAAAAGAAAGGTTCAACTCTGTTAGTTGAGGACACACATCACAAATAAGTTTCTGAGAATGCTTCTGTCTAGTTTTTATGGGAAGATATTTCCTTTTTCACCATAGGCCTGAAAGCCCTCGAAATGTCCACTTCCAGATACTACAGAAAGAGTGTTTCAAACCTGCTCTATGAAAGGGAATGCTCAACTCTGTGACTTAAAAGCAAACATCACAGAGAAGCTTCTGAGAATGCTACTGTCTACTTTGTATATGTAATCCCGTTTCCAACGAAATCCTGAAAGCTATCCAAATATCAACCTGCAGATTCCAAGAAAAGACGGTTTCAAACCTGCTCTAAGAAAGGGAATATTCAACTCTGTGACTTGAATGCAGATATCACAAAGTAGTTTCTGAGAGTGCTTCTGTCTAGATTTTATATGAAGATATTCCCGTTTCCAACGAAATACTTCGAGCTATCCAAATATCCCCTTGCATATACTATAAAAAGAGTGTTTCCAAACTACTGTATCATAAGAGAGGTTGAACTCTGTTAGTTGAGGACACACATCACAAAGAAGTTTCTGGGAATGCTTCTGTCTAGTTTTGAAGAGAAGATATTTCCTTTTTCAGCAAAGGCGTCAAAGCGCTCCAAATGTCCACTTCCAGATACTACAAAAAGAGTGTTTCAAACCTGCTCTAATAAAGGGAATGTTCAACTCTGTGACTTGAATGCACATATCACAGAGCAGTTTCTGAGAGTGCCTGTGTGTAGATTTTATACTAAAGTATTCCCGTTTCCAACGAAATCGTTAGAGCTATCCAAATATCCACTTGCAGATTCTACAGAAAGAGTGTTTCAATACTGTTGTATCAAAAGACAGGTTGTACTCTGTTAGCTGAGGACATACATCCCAAACCAGTTTGTGAGAATGCTTCTGTCAAGTTTGTATGGGAAGATATTTCCTTGTTCACCGTAGGCCTGAAAGCGCTCGAAATGTCCTCTTCCAGATACTACAGAAAGAGTGTTTGAATCCTGCTCTCTGAAAGGGAATGTTAAACTCTGTGACTTAAAAGCAAACATCAGAAAGCAGCTTCTGAGAATGCTGCTGTCTGCTTTGTATATGTAATCCCGTTTCCGACGAAATCCCCAAAGCTATCCAAATATCCTCCTGCAGATTCCACGAAAAGACGGTTTCAAACCTGCTCTAAGAAAGGGAATATTCAACTCTGTGACTTGAATACAGATATCACAAAGTAGTTTCTGAGAGTGCTTCTGTCTAGAGTTTATATGAAGCTATTCCCGTTTCCAACGAAATAGCTTGAGCTATCCAAATATCCACTTGTAGATTCTACAGAAAGAGTGTTTCCAAACTGCTGTATCAAAAGACAGGTTGTACTCTGTTACTTGAGGACACACATCACAAAGAAGTTTCTGAGAATGCCCTTGTCGAGATTTTACCTGAAGATATTCCGGTTTCCAATGAAATCCTTCAAGCTTTCCAAATATCCACTTGCAGATTCTCCAATAGAGTCTTTCAAAACAGCTCTGTAAATAGAAAGGTTCAACTCTGTTAGCTGAGGACATACATCACAAACCAGTTTGTGAGAATGCTTCTGTCTAATTTTTATGGGAAGATATTTCCTTTTGCACCGTAAGCGTCAAAGCGCTCCAAGTGTCCACATCCAGATACTGCAGAAAGAGTGTTTCAAACATGCTCTATGAAAGCGAATGTTGAACTCTGTGACGTGAATGCAGAGATCACAAAGCAGTTTCTGAGAATGCTTCTGTCTCGATTTTACATGAAGATATTCCCGCTTCCAACGAAATCTTCAAAGTTATCCAAATATCCCCTTGCAGATTCTACAAAAAGTGTGTTTCCAAACTGCTGTATCAAAAGAAAGGTTCAACTCTGTTAGTTGAGGACACACATCACAAATAAGTTTCTGAGAATGCTTCTGTCTAGTTTTTATGGGAAGATATTTCCTTTTTCACCATAGGCCTGAAAGCCCTCGAAATGTCCACTTCCAGATACTACAGAAAGAGTGTTTCAAACCTGCTCTATGAAAGGGAATGCTCAACTCTGTGACTTAAAAGCAAACATCACAGTGAAGCTTCTGAGAATGCTACTGTCTACTTTGTATATGGAATCCCGTTTCCAACGAAATCCTGAAAGCTATCCAAATATCCACCTGCAGATTCCAAGAAAAGACGGATTCAAACCTGCTCTCAGAAAGGGAATATTCAACTCTGACTTGAATGCAGTTATCACAAAGTAGTTTCTGAGAGTGCTTCTGTCTAGATTTCATGTGAAGGTATTCCCGTTTCCAACGAAATTCTTCGAGCTATCCAAATATCCCCTTGCATGTTCTACAGAAAGAGTGTTTCCAAACTTCTGTATCATAAGAGAGGTTGAACTCTGTTATTTGAGGACACACATCACAAAGAAGTTTCTGAGAATGCTTCTGTCTAGTTTTTATGGGAAGATATTTCCTTTTTCACCAAAGGCGTCAAAGCGCTCCAAATGTCCATTTCCAGATACTACAGAAAGAGTGTTTCAAACCTGCTCCAATAAAGGGAATGTTCAACTCTGTGACTTGCATGCACATATCACAAAGCCGTTTCTGAGAGTGCCTGTGTCTAGATTTTATACTAAAGTATTCTCGTTTCCAACGAAATCGTTAGAGCTATCCAAATATCCACTTGCAGATTCTACAGAAAGTGTGTTTCAATACTGCTGTATCAAAAGACAGGTTGTACTCTGTTAGCTGAGGACATACATCCCAAACCAGTTTGTGAGAATGCTTCTCTCAAGTTTGTATGGGAAGATATTTCCTTGTTCACCATAGGCCTGAAAGCGCTCGAAATGTCCTCTTCCAGATACTACAGAAAGAGTGTTTGAATCCTGCTCTCTGAAAGGGAATGTTCAACTCTGTGACTTAAAAGCAAACATCACAAAGCAGCTTCTGAGAATGCTGCTGTCTACTTTGTATATGTAATCCCGTTTCCGACGAAATCCCCAAAGCTATCCAAATATCCTCCTGCAGATTCCACGAAAAGACGGTTTCAAACCTGCTCTAAGAAAGGGAATATTCAACTCTGTGACTTGAATACAGATATCACAAAGTAGTTTCTGAGAGTGCTTCTGTCTAGAGTTTATATGAAGCTATTCCCGTTTCCAACGAAATAGCTTGAGCTATCCAAATATCCACTTGTAGATTCTACAGAAAGAGTGTTTCCAAACTGCTGTATCAAAAGACAGGTTGTACTCTGTTACTTGAGGACACACATCACAAAGAAGTTTCTGAGAATGCCTCTGTCTGGATTTTACCTGAAGATATTCCGGTTTCCAATGAAATCCTTAAAGCTTTCCAAATATCCACTTGCAGATTCTCCAATAGAGTCTTTCAAAACTGCTCTGTAAATAGAAAGTTTCAACTCTGTTAGTTGAGGACATACATCACAAACCACTTTGTGAGAATGCT
>NC_000018.10:20736125-20747698 GCF_000001405.40 Homo sapiens | reverse complement strand
CTTCTGTGTAGTTTTTATGGGAAGATACTTCCTTTTTCACCGTAAGCATCAAAGCGCTCCAAGTGTCCACATCAAGATACTACAGAAAGAGTGTTTCTGGGATTGTAAAGTAGTTCAACCATTGTGGAAGTCAGTGTGGCGATTCCTCAGGGATCTAGAACTAGAAATACCATTTGACCCAGCCATCCCATTACTGGGTATATACCCAAAGGACTATAAATCATGGTGCTATAAAGACACATGCACACGTATGTTTATTGCGGCACTATTCACAATAGCAAAGACTTGGAACCAGCCCAAATGTCCAACAATGATAGACTGGATTAAGGAAATGGGCCCATATACACCATGGATCTGTCTCGATTTTACATGAAGATATTCCCGTTTCCAACGAAATCTTCAAAGTTATCCAAATATCCACTTGCAGATTCTACAAAAAGAGTGTTTCCAAACTCCTGTATCAAAAGAAAGGTTCAACTCTGTTAGTTGAGGACACACATCACAAATAAGTTTCTGAGAATGCTTCTGTCTAGTTTTTATGGGAAGATATTTCCTTTTTCACCATAGGCCTGAAAGCCCTCGAAATGTCCACTTCCAGATACTACAGAAAGAGTGTTTCAAACCTGCTCTATGAAAGGGAATGCTCAACTCTGTGACTTAAAAGGAAACATCACAGTGAAGCTTCTGAGAATGCTACTGTCTACTCTGTGTATGTAATCCCGTTTCCAAAGAAATCCTGAAAGCTATCCAAATATCCACCTGCAGATTCCAAGAAAAGACGGTTTCAACCCTGCTCTAAGAAAGGGAATATTCAACTCTGTGACTTGAATGCAGATAGCACAAAGTAGTTTCTGAGAGTGCTTCTGTCTAGATTTTATATGAAGATATTCCCGTTTCCAAAGAAATACTTCGAGCTATCCAAATATCCCCTTGCATATACTACAAAAAGAGTGTTTCCAAACTTCTGTATCATAAGAGAGGTTGAACTCTGTTAGTTGAGGACACACATCACAAAGAAGTTTCTGGGAATGCTTCTGTCTAGTTTTGAAGAGAAGATATTTCCTTTTTCAGCAAAGGCGTCAAAGCGCTCCAAATGTCCACTTCCAGATACTACAAAAACAGTGTTTCAAACCTGCTTTAATAAAGGGAATGTTCAACTCTGTGACTTGAATGCACATATCACAGAGCAGTTTCTGAGAGTGCCTCTGTCTAGATTTTATATTAAAGTATTCCCGTTTCCAACGAAATCGTTAGAGCTATCCAAATATCCAATTGCAGATTCTACAGAAAGAGTGTTTCAATACTGCTGTATCAAAAGACAGGTTGTACTCTGTTAGTTGAGGACCTACATCACAAACCAGTTTGTGAGAATGCTTCTGTCAAGTTTGTATGGGAAGATATTTCCTTGTTCACCATAGGCCTGAAAGCGCTCGAAATGTCCTCTTCCAGATACTACAGAAAGAGTGTTTGAAACCTGCTCTCTGAAAGGGAATGTTCAACTCTGTGACTTAAAAGCAAACATCACAAAGCAGCTTCTGAGAATGCTGCCTACTTTGTATATGTAATCCCGTTTCCGACGAAATCCTCAAAGCTATCCAAATATCCTCCTGCAGATTCCACGAAAAGACGGTTTCAAACCTGCTCTAAGAAAAGGAATATTCAACTCTGTGACTTGAATACAGATATCACAAAGTAGTTTCTGAGAGTGCTTCTGTCTAGAGTTTATAGGAAGCTATTCCCGTTTCCAACGAAATAGCTTCAGCTATCCAAATATCCACTTGTAGATTCTACAGAAAGAGTGTTTCCAAACTGCTGTATCAAAAGACAGGTTGTACTCTGTTACTTGAGGACACACATCACAAAGAAGTTTCTGAGAATGCCCTTGTCGAGATTTTACCTGAAGATATTCCGGTTTACGATGAAATCCTTAAAGCTTTCCAAATATCCACTTGCAGATTCTCCAATAGAGTCTTTCAAAACAGCTCTGTAAATAGAAAGGTTCAACTCTGTTAGCTGAGGACATACATCACAAACCAGTTTGTGAGAATGCTTCTGTCTAGTTTTTATGGGAAGATATTTCCTTTTGCACCGTAAGCGTCAAAGCGCTCCAAGTGTCCACATCCAGATACTACAGAAAGAGTGTTTCAAACCTGCTCTATGAAAGCGAATGTTCAACTCTGTGATGTGAATGCAGACATCACAAAGCAGTTTCTGAGAATGCTTCTGTCTCGATTTTACATGAAGATATTCCCGTTTCCAACGAAATCTTCAAAGTTATCCAAATATCCACTTGCAGATTCTACAAAAAGAGTGTTTCCAAACTGCTGTATCAAAAGAAAGGTTCAACTCTGTTAGTTGAGGACATACATCACAAATAAGTTTCTGAGAATGCTTCTGTCTAGTTTTTATGGGAAGATATTTCCTTTTTCACCATAGGCCTGAAAGCCCTCGAAATGTCCACTTCCAGATACTACAGAAAGAGTGTTTCAAACCTGCTCTATGAAAGGGAATGCTCAACTCTGTGACTTAAAAGCAAACATCACAGAGAAGCTTCTGAGAATGCTACTGTCTACTTTGTATATGTAATCCCGTTTCCAACGAAATCCTGAAAGCTATCCAAATATCAACCTGCAGATTCCAAGAAAAGACGGTTTCAAACCTGCTCTAAGAAAGGGAATATTCAACTCTGTGACTTGAATGCAGATATCACAAAGTAGTTTCTGAGAGTGCTTCTGTCTAGATTTTATATGAAGATGTTCCCGTTTCCAACGAAATACTTCGAGCTATCCAAATATCCCCTTGCATATACTACAAAAAGAGTGTTTCCAAACTTCTGTATCATAAGAGAGGTTGAACTCTGTTAGTTGAGGGCACACATCACAAAGAAGTTTCTGGGAATGCTTCTGTCTAGTTTTGAAGAGAAGATATTTCCTTTTTCAGCAAAGGCGTCAAAGCGCTCCAAATGTCCACTTCCAGATACTACAAAAACAGTGTTTCAAACCTGCTCTAATAAAGGGAATGTTCAACTCTGTGACTTGAATGCACATATCACAGAGCAGTTTCTGAGAGTGCCTGTGTCTAGATTTTATACTAAAGTATTCCCGTTTCCAACGAAATCGTTAGAGCTATCCAAATATCCACTTGCAGATTCTACAGAAAGAGTGTTTCAATACTGCTGTATCAAAAGACAGGTTGTACTCTGTTAGCTGAGGACATACATCCCAAACCAGTTTGTGAGAATGCTTCTGTCAAGTTTGTAAGGGAAGATATTTCCTTGTTCACCATAGGCCTGAAAGCGCTCGAAATGTCCTCTTCCAGATACTACAGAAAGAGTGTTTGAAACCTGCTCCATGAAAGTGAATGTTCAACTCTGTGACTTAAAAGCAAACATCACAAAGCAGTTTCTGAGAATGCTGCTGTCTGCTTTGTATATGTAATCCCGTTTCCGACGAAATCCCCAAAGCTATCCAAATATCCTCCTGCAGATTCCACGAAAAGACGGTTTCAAACCTGCTCTAAGAAAGGGAATATTCAACTCTGTGACTTGAATGCAGATAGCACAAAGTAGTTTCTGAGAGTGCTTCTGTCTAGATTTTATATGAAGATATTCCCGTTTCCAACGAAATACTTCGAGCTATCCAAATATCCCCTTGCTTATACTACAAAAAGAGTGTTTCCAAACTTCTGTATCATAAGAGAGGTTGAACTCTGTTAGTTGAGGACACACATCACAAAGAAGTTTCTGGGAATGCTTCTGTCTAGTTTTTATGGGAAGATATTTCCTTTTTCACCAAAGGCGTCAAAGCGCTCCAAAAGTCCACTTCCAGATACTACAAAAAGAGGGTTTCAAACCTGCTCCAATAAAGGGAATGTTCAACTCTGTGACTTGAATGCACATATCACAAAGCAGTTTCTGAGAGTGCCTCTGTCTAGATTTTATATTAAGTATTCCCGTTTCCAACGAAATCGTTAGAGCTATCCAAATATCCACTTGCAGATTCTACAGAAAGAGTGTTTCAATACTGCTGTATCAAAAGACAGGTTGTCCTCTGTTAGCTGAGGACATACATCCCAAACCAGTTTGTGAGAATGCTTCTGACCAGTTTGTATGGGAAGATATTTCCTTGTTCACCATAGGCCTGAAAGCGCTCGAAATGTCCTCTTCCAGATACTACAGAAAGAGTGTTTGAAACCTGCTCTATGAAAGGGAATGTTCAACTCTGTGAATAAAAAGCAAACATCACAAAGCAGCTTCTGAGAATGCTGCTATCTACTTTGTACATGTAATCCCTTTTCCAACGAAATCCTCAAAGCTATCCAAATATCCTCCTGCAGATTCCACGAAAAGACGGTTTCAAACCTGCTCTAAGAAAGGGAATATTCAACTCTGTGACTTGAATACAGATATCACAAAGTAGTTTCTGAGAGTGCTTCTGTCTAGAGTTTATATGAAGATATTCCCGTTTCCAACGAAATAGCTTGAGCTATCCAACTATCCACTTGCAGATTCTACAGAAAGAGTGTTTCCAAACTGCTGTATCAAACGACAGGTTGTACTCTGTTACTTGAGGACACACATCACAAAGAAGTTTCTGAGAATGCCTCTGTCTAGATTTTACATGAAGATATTCCGTTTTCCAATGAAATCCTTAAAGCTTTCCAAATATCCACTTGCAGATTCTCCAATTGAGTCTTTCAAAACTGCTCTGTAAATAGAAAGGTTCAACTCTGTTAGTTGAGGACATGCATCACAAACCAGTTTGTGAGAATGCTTCTGTCTAGTTTTTATGGAAAGATATTTCCTTTTGCACCGTAAGCGTCAAAGCGCTCCAAGTGTCCACATCCAGATACTGCAGAAAGAGTTTTTCAAGCCTGCTCTATGAAAGCGAATGTTCAACTCTGTGACGTGAATGCAGACATCACAAAGCTGTTTCTGAGAATGCTTCTGTCTCGATTTTACATGAAGATATTCCCGTTTCCAACGAAATCTTCAAAGTTATCCAAATATCCACTTGCAGATTCTACAAAAAGAGTGTTTCCAAACTGCTGTATCAAAAGAAAGGTTCAACTCTGTTAGTTGAGGTCATACATCACAAATAAGTTTCTGAGAATGCTTCTGTCTAGTTTTTATGGGAAGATATTTCCTTTTTCACCATAGGCCTGAAAGCCCTCGAAATGTCCACTTCCAGATACTACAGAAAGAGTGTTTCAAACCTGCTCTATGAAAGGGAATGCTGAACTCTGTGACTTAAAACCAAACATCACAGAGAAGCTTCTGAGAATGCTACTGTCTACTTTGTATATGTAATCCCGTTTCCAAAGATGTCCTGAAAGCTATCCAAATATCCACCTGCAGATTCCAAGAAAAGACGGTTTCAACCCTGCTCTAAGAAAGGGAATATTCAACTCTGTGACTTGAATGCAGATATCACAAAGTACTTTCTGAGAGTGCTTCTGTCTAGATTTTATATGAAGGTATTCCCGTTTCCAACGAAATTCTTCGAGCTATCCAAATATCCCCTTGCATGTTCTACAGAAAGAGTGTTTCCAAACTTCTGTATCATAAGAGAGGTTGAACTCTGTTAGTTGAGGACACACATCACAAAGAAGTTTCTGGGAATGTTTCTGTGTAGTTTTTTAGGGAAGATATTTCCTTTTTCACCAAAGGCGTCAAAGCGCTCGAAATGTCCACTTCCAGATACTACAAAAAGAGTGTTTCAAACCTGCTCTAATAAAGGGAATGTTCAACTCTGTGACTTGAATGCACATATCACAAAGCAGTTTCTGAGAGTGCCTCTGTCTAGATTTTATATTAAATATTACCCTTTCCAACGAAATCGTTAGAGCTATCCAAATATCCACTTGCAGATTCTACAGAAAGAGTGTTTCAATACTGCTGTATCAAAAGACAGGTTGTACTCTGTTAGCTGAGGACATACATCCCAAACCAGTTTGTGAGAATGCTCTGTCAAGTTTTTATGGGAAGATATTTCCTTGTACACCATAGGGCTGAAAGCGCTCGAAATGTCCTCTTCCAGATACTACAGAAAGAGTGTTGGAAACCTGCTCTATGAAAGGCAATATTCAACTCTGTGACTTAAAAGCAAACATCACACAGCAGCTTCTGAGAATGCTGGCTGTCTACTTTGTACATGTAATCCCATTTCCAACGAAATCCTCAAAGCTATCCAAATATCCTCCTGCAGATTCCACAAAAAGACGGTTTCAAACCTGCTCTAAGAAAGGGAATATTCAACTCTGTGACTTGAATACAGATATCACAAAGTAGTTTCTGAGAGTGCTTCTGTCTAGAGTTTATATGAACATATTCCCCTTTCCAACGAAATAGCTTGAGCTATCCAACTATCCACTTGCAGATTCTACATAAAGAGTGTTTCCAAACTGCTGTATCAAAAGACAGGTTGTACTCTGTTACTTGAGGACACACAACACAAACAAGTTTCTGAGAATGCCCTTGTGGAGATTTTACCTGAAGATATTCCGGTTTCCAATGAAATCCTTAAAGCTTTCCAAATATGCACTTGCAGATTCTCCAATAGAGTCTTTCAAAACTGCTCTGTAAATAGAAAGGTTCAACTCTGTTAGTTGAGGACATACATCACAAACCAGTTTGTGAGAATGCTTCTGTCTAGTTTTTATGGAAAGATATTTCCTTTTGCACCGTAAGCGTCAAAGCGCTCCAAGTGTCCACATCCAGATACTGCAGAAAGAGTGTTTCAAACCTGCGCTATGAAAGCGAATGTTCAACTGTGTGACGTGAATGCAGACATCACAAAGGTGTTTCTGAGAATGCTTCTGTCTCGATTTTACATGAAGATATTCCCGCTTCCAACGAAATCTTCAAAGTTATCCAAATATCTCCTTGCAGATTCTACAGAAAGTGTGTTTCCAAACTGCTGTATCAAAAGAAAGGTTCAACTCTGTTAGTTGAAAACACACATCACAAATAAGTTTCTGAGAATGCTTCTGTCTAGTTTTTATGGGAAGATATTTCCTTTTTCACCATAGGCCTGAAAGCGCTCCAAATGTCCACTTCCAGATGCTACAGATAGAGTGTTTCAAACCTCCTCTATGAAGGGAATGTTCAACTCTGTGACTTAAAGTCAAACATCACAGAGAAGCTTCTGAGAATGCTACTGTCTACTTTGAATATGGAATCCCATTTCCAACGAAATCCTGAAAGCTATCCAAATATCCACCTGCAGATTCCAAGAAAAGACGGTTTCAAACCTGCTCTCAGAAACGGAATATTCAACTGTGACTTGAATGCAGTTATCACAAAGTAGTTTCTGAGAGTGCTTCTGTCTAGATTTTATATGAAGGTATTCCCGTTTCCAACGAAATTCTTCGAGCTATCCAAATATCCCCTTGCATGTTCTACAGAAAGAGTGTTTCCAAACTTCTGTATCATAAGAGAGGTTGAACTCTGTTAGTTGAGGACACACATCACAAAGAAGTTTCTGGGAATGTTTCTGTCTAGTTTTGAAGAGAAGATATTTCCTTTTTCAGCAAAGTCGTCAAAGCGCTCCAAATGTCCACTTCCAGATACTACAAAAAGAGTGTTTCAAACCTGCTCTAATAAAGGGAATGTTCAACTCTGTGACTTGAATGCACATATCACAGAGCAGTTTCTGAGAGTGCCTCTGTCTAGATTTTATACTACAGTATTCCCGTTTCCAATGAAATCGTTAGAGCTATCCAAATATCCACTTGCAGATTCTACAGAAAGAGTGTTTCAATACTGCTGTATCAAAAGACAGGTTGTACTCTGTTAGCTGAGGACATACATCCCAAACCAGTTTGTGAGAATGCTTCTGTCAAGTTTGTATGGGAAGATATTTCCTAGTTCACCATAGGCCTGAAAGCGCTCGAAATGTCCTCTTCCAGATACTACAGAAAGAGTGTTTGAATCCTGCTCTCTGAAAGGGAATGTTAAACTCTGTGACTTAAAAGCAAACATCAGAAAGCAGCTTCTGAGAATGCTGCTGTCTGCTTTGTATATGTAATCCCGTTTCCGACGAAATCCCCAAAGCTATCCAAATATCCTCCTGCAGATTCCACGAAAAGACGGTTTCAAACCTGCTCTAAGAAAGGGAATATTCAACTCTGTGACTTGAATACAGATATCACAAAGTAGTTTCTGAGAGTGCTTCTGTCTAGAGTTTATATGAAGCTATTCCCGTTTCCAACGAAATAGCTTGAGCTATCCAAATATCCACTTGTAGATTCTACAGAAAGAGTGTTTCCAAACTGCTGTATCAAAAGACAGGTTGTACTCTGTTACTTGAGGACACACATCACAAAGAAGTTTCTGAGAATGCCCTTGTCGAGATTTTACCTGAAGATATTCCGGTTTCCAATGAAATCCTTAAAGCTTTCCAAATATCCACTTGCAGATTCTCCAATAGAGTCTTTCAAAACAGCTCTGTAAATAGAAAGGTTCAACTCTGTTAGCTGAGGACTCACATCACAAACCAGTTTGTGAGAATGCTTCTGTCTAGTTTTTATGGGAAGATATTTCCTTTTGCACCGTAAGCGTCAAAGCGCTCCAAGTGTCCACATCCAGATACTGCAGAAAGAGTGTTTCAAACCTGCTCTATGAAAGCGAATGTTCAACTCTGTGACGTTAATGCAGACATCACAAAGCTGTTTCTGAGAATGCTTCTGTCTCGATTTTACATGAAGATATTCCCGATTCCAACGAAATCTTCAAAATTTTCCAAATATCCCCTTGCAGATTCTACAAAAGTGTGTTTCCAAACTGCTGTATCAAAATAAAGGTTCAACTCTGTTAATTGAGGACACACATCACAAATAAGTTTCTGAGAATGCTTCTGTCTAGTTTTTATGGGAAGATATTTCCTTTTTCACCATAGGCCTGAAAGCGCTCGAAATGTCCACTTCCAGATGCTACAGATAGAGTGTTTCAAACCTGCTCTATGAAAGGGAATGTTCAACTCTGTGACTTAAAGGCAAGCATCACAGAGAAGATTCTGAGAATGCTACTGTCTACTTTGTATATGGAATCCCGTTTCCAACGAAATCCTGAAAGCTATCCAAATATCCACCTGCAGATTCCAAGAAAAGACGGTTTCAAACCTGCTCTCAGAAAGGGAATATTCAACTCTGACTTGAATGCAGTTTTCACAAAGTAGTTTCTGAGAGTGCTGCTTCTGTCTAGATTTTATATGAAGGTATTCCCGTTTCCAACGAAATTCTTCAGGCTATCCAAATATCCCCTTGCATGTTCTACAGAAAGAGTGTTTCCAAACTTCTGTATCATAAGAGAGGTTGAACTCTGTTAGTTGAGGAAACACATCACAAAGAAGTTTCTGAGAATGCTTCTCTCTAGTTTTTTAAGGAAGATATTTCCTTTTTCCCCAAAGGCGTAAAAGCGCTGCAAATGTCCACTTCCAGATACTATAAAAAGAGTGTTTCAAACCTGCTCTAATAAAGGGAATGTTCAACTCTGTGACTTGAATGCGCATATCACAAAGCAGTTTCTGAGAGTGCCTGAGTCTAGATTTCATACTAAAGTATTCCCGTTTCCAACGAAATCGTTAGAGCTATCCAAATATCCACTTGCAGATTCTACAGAAAGAGTGTTTCAATACTGCTGTATCAAAAGACAGGTTGTACTCTGTTAGCTGAGGACATACATCCCAAACCAGTTTGTGAGAATGCTTCTGTCAAGTTTGTATGGGAAGATATTTCCTTGTTCACCATAGGCCTGAAAGCGCTCGAAATGTCCTCTTCCAGATACTACAGAAAGAGTGTTTGAAACCTGCTCTCTGAAAGGGAATGTTCAACTCTATGACTTAAAGGCAAACATCACAAAGCAGCTTCTGAGAATGCTGCCTACTTTGTATATGTAATCCCGTTTCCGACGAAATCCTCAAAGCTATCCAAATATCCTCCTGCAGATTCCACGAAAAGACGGTTTCAAACCTGCTCTAAGAAAAGGAATATTCAACTCTGTGACTTGAATACAGATATCACAAAGTAGTTTCTGAGAGTGCTTCTGTCTAGGGTTTATATGATGCTATTCCCGTTTCCAACGAAATAACTTGAGCTATCCAAATATCCACTTGCAGATTCTACAGAAAGAGTGTTTCCAAACTGCAGTATCAAAAGACAGGTTGTACTCTGTTACTTGAGGACACACATCACAAAGCATTTTGTGAGAATGCCCCTATCTAGATTTTACCTGAAGATATTCCTGTTTCCAATGAAACCCTTAAAGCTTTCCAAATATCAACTTGCAGATTCTCCAACTGAGTCTTTCAGAACTACTCTGTAAATAGAAATGTTCAACTCTGTTAGTTGAAGACATACATCACAAACGAGTTTGTGAGAATGCTTCTGTCTAGTTTTTATGGGAAGATATTTCCTTTTGCACCGTAAGCGTCAAAGCGCTCCAAGTGTCCACATCCAGATACTACAGAAAGAGTGTTTCAAACCTGCTCTATGAAAGCGAATGTTCAACTCTGTGACGTGAATGCAGACATCACAAAGCAGTTTGTGAGAATGCTTCTGTCTCGATTTTACATGAAGATATTCCCGTTTCCAACGAAATCTTCAAAGTTATCCAAATATCCACTTGCAGATTCTACAAGAAGAGTGTTTCCAAACTGCTGTATCAAAAGAAAGGTTCAACTCCGTTAGTTGAGGACATACATCACAAATAAGTTTCTGAGAATGATTTCTGTCTAGTTTTTATGAGAAGATCTTTCCTTTTTCACCATAGGCCTGAAAGCGCTCCAAATATCCACTTCCAGATGCTGCAGATAGAGTGTTTCAAACCTGCTCTATGAAAGGGAATGTTCAACTCTGTGACTTAAAGGCAAACATCACAGAGAAGCTTCTGAGACTGCTACGGTCTACCTTGTATATGGAATCCCGTTTCCAACGAAATCCTGAAAGCTATCTAAATATCCACCTGCAGATTCCAAGAAAAGACGGTTTCAAACCTGCTCTCAGAAAGGGAATATTCAACTCTGACTTGAATGCAGTAATCAAAAAGTAGTTTCTGAGAGTGCTTCTGTCTAGATTTTATATGAAGATATTCCCGTTTCCAACGAAATACTTCGAGCTATCCAAATATCCCCTTGCATATTCTCCAAAAGAGTGTTTCCAAACTTCTGTATCATAAGAGAGGTTGAACTCTGTTAGTTTACGAAACACATCACAAAGAAGTTTCTGAGAATGCTTCTGTCTAGTTTTGAAGAGAAGATATTTCCTTTTTCAGCAAAGGCGTCAAAGCGCTCCAAATGTCCACTTCCAGATACTACAAAAAGAGTGTTTCAAACCTGCTCTAATAAAGGGAATGTTGAACTCTGTGACTTGAATGCACATATCACAGAGCAGTTTCTGAGAGTGCCTGTGTCTAGATTTTATACTAAAGTATTCCCGTTTCCAACGAAATCGTTAGAGCTATCCAAATATCCACTTGCAGATTCTACAGAAAGAGTGTTTCAATACTGCTGTATCAAAAGACGGGTTGTACTCTGTTAGCTGAGGACATACATCCCAAACCAGTTTGTGAGAATGCT
>NC_000018.10:20696389-20736025 GCF_000001405.40 Homo sapiens | reverse complement strand
TCTGTCTAGTTTTTATGGGAAGATATTTCCTTTTTCACCATAGGCCTGAAAGCCCTCGAAATGTCCACTTCCAGATACTATAGAAAGAGTGTTTCAAACCTGCTCTATGAAAGGGAATGCTCAACTCTGTGACTTAAAAGCAAACATCACAGAGAAGCTTCTGAGAATGCTACAGTCTAATTTGTATATGTAATCCCGTTTCCAAAGAAATCCTGAAAGCTATCCAAATATCCACCTGCAGATTCCAAGAAAAGACCGTTTCAAATCTGCTCTAAGAAAGGGAATATTCAACTCTGTGACTTGAATGCAGATATCACAAAGTAGTTTCTGAGAGTGCTTCTGTCTAGATTTTATATGAAGATATTCCCGTTTCCAACGAAATACTTCGAGCTATCCAAATATCCCCTTGCATATACTACAAAAAGAGTGTTTCCAAACTTCTGTATCATAAGAGAGGTTGAACTCTGTTAGTTGAGGGCACACATCACAAAGAAGTTTCTGAGAATGCTTCTGTGTAGTTTTTTAGGGAAGATATTTCCTTTTTCACCAAAGGCGTCAAAGCGCTCGAAATGTCCACTTCCAGATACTACAAAAAGAGTGTTTCAAACCTGCTCTAATAAAGGGAATGTTCAACTCTGTGACTTGAATGCACATATCACAAAGCAGTTTCTGAGAGTGCCTCTGTCTAGATTTTATATTAAATATTACCCTTTCCAACGAAATCGTTAGAGCTATCCAAATATCCACTTGCAGATTCTACAGAAAGAGTGTTTCAATACTGCTGTATCAAAAGACAGGTTGTACTCTGTTAGCTGAGGACATACATCCCAAACCAGTTTGTGAGAATGCTTCTGTCAAGTTTTTATGGGAAGATATTTCCTTGTACACCATAGGGCTGAAAGCGCTCGAAATGTCCTCTTCCAGATACTACAGAAAGAGTGTTGGAAACCTGCTCTATGAAAGGCAATATTCAACTCTGTGACTTAAAAGCAAACATCACACAGCAGCTTCTGAGAATGCTGCTGTCTACTTTGTACATGTAATCCCATTTCCAACGAAATCCTCAAAGCTATCCAAATATCCTCCTGCAGATTCCACAAAAAGACGGTTTCAAACCTGCTCTAAGAAAGGGAATATTCAACTCTGTGACTTGAATACAGATATCACAAAGTAGTTTCTGAGAGTGCTTCTGTCTAGAGTTTATATGAACATATTCCCCTTTCCAACGAAATAGCTTGAGCTATCCAACTATCCACTTGCAGATTCTACATAAAGAGTGTTTCCAAACTGCTGTATCAAAAGACAGGTTGTACTCTGTTACTTGAGGACACACAACACAAACAAGTTTCTGAGAATGCCCTTGTCTAGATTTTACCTGAAGATATTCCGGTTTCCAATTGAAACCTTAAAGCTTTCCAAATATCCACTTGCAGATTCTCCAATTGAGTCTTTCAAAAGTGCTCTGTAAATAGAAAGGTTCAACTCTGTTAGCTGAGGACATACATCACAAACCAGTTTATGAGAATGCTTCTGTCTAGTTTTTATGGGGAGATATTTCCTTTTGCACCGTAAGCGTCAAAGGGCTCCAAATGTCCACATCCAGATACTGCAGAAAGAGTGTTTCAAACCTGCTCTATGAAAGCGAATGTTCAACTCTGTGATGAGAATGCAGACATCACAAAGCAGTTTCTGAGAATGCTTCTGTCTCGATTTAACATGAAGATATTCCCGTTTCCAACGAAAACTTCACAGTTATCCAAATATCCACTTGCAGATTCTACAAAAAGAGTGTTTCCAAACTGCTGTATCAAAAGAAAGGTTCAACTCTGTTAGTTGAGGACACACATCACAAATAAGTTTCTGAGAATGCTTCTGTCTAGTTTTTATGGGAAGATATTTCCTTTTTCACCATAGGCCTGAAAGCGCTCGAAAAGTCCACTTCCAGATACTACAGAAAGAGTGTTTCAAACCTGCTCTATGAAAGGGAATGCTCAACTCTGTGACTTAAAAGCAAACATCACAGAGAAGCTTCTGAGAATGCTACTGTCTACTTTGTGTATGTAATCCCGTTTCCAACGAAATCCTGAAATCTATCCAAATATCCACCTGCAGATTCCAAGAAAGGACGGTTTCAAACCGGCTCTAAGAAAGGGAATGTTCGACTCTGTGACTTCAATGCAGATATCACAAAATAGTTTCTGAGAGTGCTTCTGTCTAGGTTTTATATGAAGATATTCCCGTTTCCAATGAAATAGTTCGAGCTATCCAAATATCCCCAGGCATATTCTCCAACAAGAGTGTTTCCAAACATCTGTATCATAAGAGAGGTTGAATTCCGTTAGTTGAGGACACACATCACAAAGAAGTTTCTGAGAATGCTTCTGTCTAGTTTTTTACGGAAGATATTTCCTTTTTCACCAAAGGCGTCAAAGCGCTCCAAGTGTCCACTTCCAGATACTACAAAAAGAGTGTTTCAAACCTGCTCTAATAAAGGGAATGTTCAACTATGTGACTTGAGTGCACATATCACAAAGCAGTTTCTGAGAGTGCCTCTGTCTAGATTTTATACTAAAGTATTCCCGTTTCCAACGAAATCGTTAGAGCTATCCAAATATCCAATTGCAGATTCTAAGGAAAGAGTGTTTCAATACTGCTCTATCAAAAGACAGGCTGTACTCTGTTAGCTGAGGACATACATCCCAAACTAGTTTGTGAGAATGCTTCTGTCAAGTTTCTATGGGAAGATATTTCCTTGTTCACCATAGGCCTGAAAGCGCTCGAAATGTCCTCTTCCAGATACTAGAGAAAGAGTGTTTGAAACCTGCTCTATGAAAGGGAATGTTCAACTCCGTGACTTAAAAGCAAACATCACAAAGCAGCTCCTGAGAATGCTGCTGTCTACTTTGTATATGTAATCCCGTTTCCAACGAAATCCTCAAAGCTATCCAAATATCCTCCTGCAGATTCCACGAAAAGACGGTTTCATACCTGCTCTAAGAAAGGGAATATTCAACTCTGTGACTTGAATACAGATATCACAAAGTAGTTTCTGAGAGTGCTTCTGTCTAGTGTTTATAAGAAGCTATTCCCGTTTCCAACGAAATAGCTTGAGCTATCCAAATATCCACTTGCAGATTCTACAGAAAGAGTGTTTCCAAACTGCTGTATCAAAAGACAGGTTGTACTCTGTTACTTGGGGACACACATCACAAAGCAGTTTCTGAGAATGCTTCTTTCTCGGTTTAACATGAAGATATTCCCGTTTCCAAAGAAATCTTCAAAGTTATCCAAATATCCACTTGCAGATTCTACAAAAAGAGTGTTTCCAAACTGCTGTATCAAAAGAAAGGTTCAACTCTGTTAGTTGAGGACACACATCACAAATAAGTTTCTGAGAATGCTTCTGTCTAGTTTTTATGGGAAGATATTTCCTTTTTCACCATAGGCCTGAAAGTGCTCCAAATGTCCACTTCCAGATGCTACAGATAGAGTGTTTCAAACCTGCTCTATGAAAGGGAATGTTCAACTCTGTGACTTAAAGGCAAACATCACACAGAAGCTTCTGAGAATGCTACAGTCTAATTTGTATATGTAATCCCGTTTCCAAAGAAATCCTGAAAGCTATCCAAATATCCACCTGCAGATTCCAAGAAAAGACGGTTTCAAACCGGCTCTAAGAAAGGGAATGTTCGACTCTGTGACTTGAATGCAGATATCACAAAGTAGTTTCTGAGAGTGCTTCTGTCTAGATTTTATATGAAGTTATTCCGGTTTCCAACGAAATACTTCAAGCTATCCAAATAACCCCTGGCATATTCTACAAAAAGAGTGTTTCCAAACTTCTGTATCATAAGAGAGGTTGAACTCTGTTAGTTGAGGACACACATCACAAACAAGTTTCTGAGAATGCTTCTGTCTTGTTTTTTAGGGAAGATATTTCCTTTTTCACCAAAGGCGTCAAAGCGCTCCAAATGTCCACTTCAAGATACTACAAAAAGAGTGTTTCAAACCTGCTCTAATAAAGGGAATGTTCAAATCTGTGACTTGAATGCGCACATCACAAAGCAGTTTCTGAGAGTGCCTCTGTCTAGATTTTATACTAAAGTATTCCCGTTTCCAACGAAATCGTTAGAGCTATCCAAATATCCACTTGCAGATTCTACAGAAAGAGTGTTTCAATACTGCTGTATCAAAAGACAGGCTGTACTCTGTTAGCTGAGGACATACATCCCAAACCAGTTCGTGAGAATACTTCTGTCAAGTTTCTATGGGAAGATATTTCCTTGTTCACCATAGGCCTGAAAGCGCTCGAAATGTCCTCTTCCAGATACTACAGAAAGAGTGTTTGAAACCTGCTCTATGAATGTGAATGTTCCACTCTGTGACTTAAAAGCAAACATCACAAAGCAGCTTCTGACAATGCTGCTGTCTACTTTGTAAATGTAATCCCGTTTCCAACGAAATCCTCAAATCTATCCAAATATCCTCCTGCAGATTCCACGAAAAGACGGTTTCAAATCTGCTCTAAGAAAGGGAATATTCAACTCTGTGACTTGAATACAGATATCACAAAGTAGTTTCTGAGAGTGCTTCTGTCTAGGGTTTATATGAAGATGTTCCCGTTTCCAACGAAATAGCTTGAGCTATCCAAATATCCACTTGCAGATTCTACAGAAAGGGTGTTTCCAAACTGCTGTATCAAAAGACAGGTTGTACTCTGTTACTTGAGGACACACATCACAAAGAAGTTTCTGAGAATGCCCTTGTCTAGATTTTACCTGAAGATATTCCGGTTTCCAATTGAAACCTTAAAGCTTTCCAAATATCCACTTGCAGATTCTCCAATTGAGTCTTTCAAAAGTGCTCTGTAAATAGAAAGGTTCAACTCTGTTAGCTGAGGACATACATCACAAACCAGTTTGTGAGAATGCTTCTGTCTAGTTTTTATGGGAAGATATTTCCTTTTTCACCGTAAGCGTCAAAGCGCTCCAAGTGTCCACATCCAGATACTACAGAAAGAGTCTTTCAAACCTGCTCTATGAAAGCGAATGTTCAACTCTGTGACGGGAATGCAGACATCACAAAGCAGTTTCTGAGAATGCTTCTGTCTCGATTTTACATGAAGATATTCCCGTTTCCAAAGAAATCTTCAAAGTTATCCAAATATCCACTTGCAGATTCTACAAAAAGAGTGTTTCCAAACTGCTGTATCAAAAGAAAGGTTCAACTCTGTTAGTTGAGGACACACATCACAAATAAGTTTCTGAGAATCCTTCTGTCTAGTTTTTATGGGAAGATATTTCCTTTTTCACCATGAGCCTGAAAGCGCTCGAAACGTCCACTTCCAGATACTACAGAAAGAGTGTTTCAAACCTGCTCTATGAATGCGAATGTTCAACTCTGTGACTTAAAAGCAAACATCACAAAGAAGCTTCTGAGAATGCTACTGTCTACTTTGTGTATGTAATCCCGTTTCCAACGAAATCCTGAAATCTATCCAAATATCCACCTGCAGATTCCAAGAAAGGACGGTTTCAAACCGGCTCTAAGAAAGGGAATGTTCGACTCTGTGACTTCAATGCAGATATCACAAAATAGTTTCTGAGAGTGCTTCTGTCTAGATTTTATATGAAGATATTCCCGTTTCCAACGAAATACTTCGAGCTATCCAAATATCCCCTGGCATATTCCCCAAAAAGAGTGTTTCCAAACTTCTGTATCATAAGAGAGGTTGAACTCTGTTAGTTGAGGACACACATCACAAAGAAGTTTCTGAGAATGCTTCTGTCTAGTTTTTTAGGGAAGATATTTCCTTTTTCACCAAAGGCGTCAAAGCGCTCCAAATGTCCACTTCCAGATACTACAAAAAGAGTGTTTCAAACCTGCTCTAATAAAGGGAATGTTCAACTACGTGACTTGAGTGCACATATCACAAAGCAGTTTCTGAGAGTGCCTCTGTCTAGATTTTATATTAAAGTATTCCCGTTTCCAACGAAATCGTTAGAGCTATCCAAATATCCACTTGCAGATTCTACAGAAAGAGTGTTTCAATACTGCTGTATCAAAAGACAGGTTGTACTCTGTTAGCTGAGGACATACATCCCAAACCAGTTTGTGGGAATGCTTCTGTCAAGTTTTTATGGGAAGATATTTCCTTTTTCACCGAAAGCGTCAAAGCGCTCGAAATGTCCTCTTCCAGATACTACAGAAAGAGTGTTTGAAACCTGCTCTATGAAAGGGAATGTTCAACTCTGTGACTTAAAAGCAAACATCACACAGCAGCTTCTGAGAATGCTGCTGTCTACTTTGTATATGTAATCCCGTTTCCAACGAAATCCTCAAAGCTATCCAAATAGCCTCCTGCAGATTCCACGAAAAGATGGTTTCAAACCTGCTCTAAGAAAGGGAATATTCAACTCCGTGACTTGAATACAGATATCAAAATGTATTTTCTGATGGTGCTTCTGTCTAGTTTTTATGGGAAGATATTTCCTTTTTCACCATAGGCCTGAAAGCGCTCCAAATGTCCACTTCCAGATGCTACAGATAGAGTGTTTCAAACCTCCTCTATGAAGGGAATGTTCAACTCTGTGACTTAAAGTCAAACATCACAGAGAAGCTTCTGAGAATGCTTCTGTCTCGATTTTACATGAAGATATTCCCGTTTCCAACGAAATCTTCAAAGTTATCCGAATATCCACTTGCAGATTCTACAAAAAGAGTGTTTCCAAACTGCTGTATCAAAAGAAAGGTTCAACTCTGTTAGTTGAGGACACACATCACAAATAAGTTTCTGAGAATGCTTCTGTCTAGTTTTTATGGGAAGATATTTCCTTTTTCACCGTAGGCCTGAAAGCCCTCGAAATGTCCACTTCCAGATACGACAGAAAGAGTGTTTCAAACCTGCTCTATGAAAGGGAATGCTCAACGCTGTGACTTAAAAGCAAACGTCACAGAGAAGCTTCTGAGAATGCTACTGTCTAAGTTGTATATGTAATCCCGTTTCCAAAGAAATCCTGAAAGCTATCCAAATATCCACCTGCAGATTCCAAGAAAAGGCGGTTTCAAACCGGCTCTAAGAAAGGGAATGTTCGACTCTGTGACTTGAATGCAGATATCACAAAGTAGTTTCTGAGAGTGCTTCTGTCTAGATTTTATATGAAGATATTCCCGTTTCCAACGAAATACTTCGAGCTATCCAAATATCCCCTTGCATATTCTACAAAAAGAGTATTTCCAAACTTCTGTATCATAAGAGAGGTTGAACTCTGTTAGTTGAGGACACACATCACAAAGAAGTTTCTGAGAATGCTTTTGTCTAGTTTTTATGTGAAGACATTTCCTTTATCACCAAAGGCGTCAAAGCGCTCCAAATGTCCACTTCCAGATACTACAAAAAGAGTGTTTCAAACCTGCTCTAAGAAAGGGAATGTTCAACTCTGTGAGTTGAATGCAGATATCACAAAGCAGTTTCCGACAGTGCCTCTGTCTAGATTTTATATTAAAGTATTCCCGTTTCCAACGAAATCGTTAGAGCTATCCAAATATCCAATTGCAGATTCTACAGAAAGAGTGTTTCAATACTGCTGTATCAAAAGACAGGTTGTACTCTGTTAGTTGAGGACCTACATCACAAACCAGTTTGTGAGAATGCTTCTGTCAAGTTTCTGTGGGAAGATATTTCCTTGTTCACCATAGGCCTGAAAGCGCTCGAAATGTCCTCTTCCAGATACTACAGAAAGAGTGTTTGAAACCTGCTCTATGAATGTGAATGTTCCACTCTGTGACTTAAAAGCAAACATCACAAAGCAGCTTCTGACAATGCTGCTGTCTACTTTGTAAATGTAATCCCGTTTCCAACGAAATCCTCAAATCTATCCAAATATCCTCCTGCAGATTCCACGAAAAGACGGTTTCAAATCTGCTCTAAGAAAGGGAATATTCAACTCTGTGACTTGAATACAGGTATCACAAAGTAGTTTCTGAGAGTGCTTCTGTCTAGGGTTTATATGAAGATGTTCCCGTTTCCAACGAAATAGCTTGAGCTATCCAAATATCCACTTGCAGATTCTACAGAAAGGGTGTTTCCAAACTGCTGTATCAAAAGACAGGTTGTACTCTGTTACTTGAGGACACACATCACAAAGAAGTTTCTGAGAATGCCCTTGTCTAGATTTTACCTGAAGATATTCCGGTTTCCAATTGAAACCTTAAAGCTTTCCAAATATCCACTTGCAGATTCTCCAATTGAGTCTTTCAAAACTGCTCTGTAAATAGAAAGGTTCAACTCTGTTAGCTGAGGACATACATCACAAACCAGTTTGTGAGAATGCTTCTGTCTAGTTTTTATGGGAAGATATTTCCTTTTTCACCGTAAGCGTCAAAGCGCTCCAAGTGTCCACATCCAGATACTACAGAAAGAGTCTTTCAAACCTGCTCTATGAAAGCGAATGTTCAACTCTGTGACGGGAATGCAGACATCACAAAGCAGTTTCTGAGAATGCTTCTGTCTCGATTTTACATGAAGATATTCCCGCTTCCAACGAAATCTTCAAAGTTATCCAAATATCCCCTTGCAGATTCTACAGAAAGTGTGTTTCCAAACTGCTGTATCAAAAGAAACGTTCAACTCTGTTAGTTGAAAACACACATCACAAATAAGTTTCTGAGAATGCTTCTGTCAATTTTCTATGGGAAGATATTTCCTTGTTCACCATAGGCCTGAAAGCACTCGAAATGTCCACTTCCAGATGCTACAGATAGAGTGTTTCAAACCTGCTCTATGAAAGGGAATGTTCAACTCTGTGACTTAAAGGCAAACATCACAGAGAAGATTCTGAGAATGCTACGGTCTACCTTGTATATGGAATCCCGTTTCCAACGAAATCCTGAAAGCTATCTAAATATCCACCTGCAGATTCCAAGAAAAGACGGTTTCAAACCTGCTCTCAGAAAGGGAATATTCAACTCTGACTTGAATGCAGTAATCAAAAAGTAGTTTCTGAGAGTGCTTCTGTCTAGATTTTATATGAAGTTATTCCGGTTTCCAACGAAATACTTCAAGCTATCCAAATAACCCCTGGCATATTCTACAAAAAGAGTGTTTCCAAACTTCTGTATCATAAGAGAGGTTGAACTCTGTTAGTTGAGGACACACATCACAAAGAAGTTTCTGAGAATGCTTCTGTGTAGTTTTTTAGGGAAGATATTTCCTTTTTCACCAAAGGCGTCAAAGCGCTCGAAATGTCCACTTCCAGATACTACAAAAAGAGTGTTTCAAACCTGCTCTATGAAAGGGAATGTTCACCTCTGTGAATTGAGTGCACATATCACAAAGCAGTTTCTGAGAGTGCCTCTGTCTAGATTTTATACTAAAGTATTCCCGTTTCCAACGAAATCGTTAGAGCTATCCAAATATCCACTTGCAGATTCTACAGAAAGAGTGTTTCAATACTGCTGTATCAAAAGACAGGCTGTACTCTGTTAGCTGAGGACATACATCCCAAACCAGTTCGTGAGAATACTTCTGTCAAGTTTCTATGGGAAGATATTTCCTTGTTCACCATAGGCCTGAAAGCGCTCGAAATGTCCTCTTCCAGATACTACAGAAAGAGTGTTTGAAACCTGCTCTATGAATGTGAATGTTCCACTCTGTGACTTAAAAGCAAACATCACAAAGCAGCTTCTGACAATGCTGCTGTCTACTTTGTAAATGTAATCCCGTTTCCAACGAAATCCTCAAATCTATCCAAATATCCTCCTGCAGATTCCACGAAAAGACGGTTTCAAATCTGCTCTAAGAAAGGGAATATTCAACTCTGTGACTTGAATACAGATATCACAAAGTAGTTTCTGAGAGTGCTTCTGTCTAGGGTTTATATGAAGATGTTCCCGTTTCCAACGAAATAGCTTGAGCTATCCAAATATCCACTTGCAGATTCTACAGAAAGGGTGTTTCCAAACTGCTGTATCAAAAGACAGGTTGTACTCTGTTACTTGAGGACACACATCACAAAGAAGTTTCTGAGAATGCCCTTGTCTAGATTTTACCTGAAGATATTCCGGTTTCCAATTGAAACCTTAAAGCTTTCCAAATATCCACTTGCAGATTCTCCAATTGAGTCTTTCAAAAGTGCTCTGTAAATAGAAAGGTTCAACTCTGTTAGCTGAGGACATACATCACAAACCAGTTTGTGAGAATGCTTCTGTCTAGTTTTTATGGGGAGATATTTCCTTTTGCACCGTAAGCGTCAAAGGGCTCCAAAAGTCCACATCCAGATACTGCAGAAAGAGTGTTTCAAACCTGCTCTATGAAAGCGAATGTTCAACTCTGTGATGAGAATGCAGACATCACAAAGCAGTTTCTGAGAATGCTTCTGTCTCGATTTAACATGAAGATATTCCCGTTTCCAACGAAAACTTCACAGTTATCCAAATATCCACTTGCAGATTCTACAAAAAGAGTGTTTCCAAACTGCTGTATCAAAAGAAAGGTTCAACTCTGTTAGTTGAGGACACACATCACAAATAAGTTTCTGAGAATGCTTCTGTCTAGTTTTTATGGGAAGATATTTCCTTTTTCACCATAGGCCTGAAAGCGCTCGAAAAGTCCACTTCCAGATACTACAGAAAGAGTGTTTCAAACCTGCTCTATGAAAGGGAATGCTCAACTCTGTGACTTAAAAGCAAACATCACAGAGAAGCTTCTGAGAATGCTACTGTCTACTTTGTGTATGTAATCCCGTTTCCAACGAAATCCTGAAATCTATCCAAATATCCACCTGCAGATTCCAAGAAAGGACGGTTTCAAACCGGCTCTAAGAAAGGGAATGTTCGACTCTGTGACTTCAATGCAGATATCACAAAATAGTTTCTGAGAGTGCTTCTGTCTAGATTTTATATGAAGATATTCCCGTTTCCAACGAAATACTTCGAGCTATCCAAATATCCCCTGGCATATTCCCCAAAAAGAGTGTTTCCAAACTTCTGTATCATAAGAGAGGTTGAACTCTGTTAGTTGAGGACACACATCACAAAGAAGTTTCTGAGAATGCTTCTGTCTAGTTTTTTAGGGAAGATATTTCCTTTTTCACCAAAGGCGTCAAAGCGCTCCAAATGTCCACTTCCAGATACTACAAAAAGAGTGTTTCAAACCTGCTCTAATAAAGGGAATTTTCAACTACGTGAGTTGAGTGCACATATCACAAAGCAGTTTCTGAGAGTGCCTGTGTCTAGATTTTATACTAAAGTATTCCCGTTTCCAACGAAATCGTTAGAGCTATCCAAATATCCACTTGCAGATTCTACAGAAAGAGTGTTTCAATACTGCTGTATCAAAAGACAGGCTGTACTCTGTTAGCTGAGGACATACATCCCAAACCAGTTTGTGAGAATGCTTCTGTCAAGTTTGTATGGGAAGATATTTCCTTGTTCACCATAGGCCTGAAAGCGCTCGAAATGTCCTCTTCCAGATACTAGAGAAAGAGTGTTTGAAACCTGCTCTATGAAAGGGAATGTTCAACTCCGTGACTTAAAAGCAAACATCACAAAGCAGCTCCTGAGAATGCTGCTGTCTACTTTGTATATGAAATCGTGTTTCCACCGAAATCCTCAAACCTATCCAAATATCCTCCTGCAGATTCCACGAAAAGACGGTTTCAAACCTGGTCTAAGAAAGGGAATATTGAACTCTGTGAGTTGAATGCAGATATCACAAAGTAGTTTCTGAGAGTGCTTCTGTCTAGTGTTTATAAGAAGCTATTCCCGTTTCCAACGAAATAGCTTGAGCTATCCAAATATCCACTTGCAGATTCTACAGAAAGAGTGTTTCCAAACTGCTGTATCAAAAGACAGGTTGTACTCTGTTACTTGGGGACACACATCACAAAGCAGTTTCTGAGAATGCTTCTTTCTCGATTTAACATGAAGATATTCCCGTTTCCAAAGAAATCTTCAAAGTTATCCAAATATCCACTTGCAGATTCTACAAAAAGAGTGTTTCCAAACTGCTGTATCAAAAGAAAGGTTCAACTCTGTTAGTTGAGGACACACATCACAAATAAGTTTCTGAGAATGCTTCTGTCTATTTTTTATGGGAAGATATTTCCTTTTTCACCATAGGCCTGAAAGCCCTCGAAATGTCCACTTCCAGATACTACAGAAAGAGTGTTTGAATCCTGCTCTATGAAAGGGAATGTTCAACTCTGTGACTTAAAAGCAAACATCACAAAGCAGCTTCTGAGAATGCTGCTGTCTACTTTGTACATGTAATCCCGTTTCCAACGAAATCCTCAAAGCTATCCAAATATCATCCTGCAGATTCCACGAAAAGACGGTTTCAAACCTGCTCTAAGAAAGGGAATATTGAACTCTGTGACTTGAATACAGATATCACAAAGTAGTTTCTGAGAGTGCTTCTGTCTAGATTTTATATGAAGGTATTCCCTTTTCCAACGAAATACTTCGAGCTATCCAAATATCCCCTGGCATATTCTCCAAAAAGAGTGTTTCCAAACTTCTGTATCATAAGAGAGGTTGAACTCTGTTAGTTGAGGACACACATCACAAAGAAGTTTCTGAGAATGCTTCTGTCTAGTTGTTTAGGGAAGATATTTCCTTTTTCACCAAAGGCGTCAAAGCGCTCCAAATGTCCACTTCCAGATACTACAAAAAGAGTGTTTCAAACCTGCTCTAATACAGGGAATGTTCAACTCTGTGACTTGAATGCACATATCACAAAGCAGTTTCTGAGAGTGCCTCTGTCTAGATTTTATACTAAAGTATTCCCGTTTCCAACGAAATCGTTAGAGCTATCCAAATATCCACTTGCAGATTCTACAGAAAGAGTGTTTCAATACTGCTGTATCAAAAGACAGGCTGTACTCTGTTAGCTGAGGACATACATCCCAAACCAGTTCGTGAGAATACTTCTGTCAAGTTTGTATGGGAATATATTTCCTTGTTCACCATACGCCTGAAAGCGCTCGAAATATCCTCTTCCAGATACTACAGAAAGAGTGTTTGAAACCTGCTCTATGAAAGTGAATGTTCCACTCTGTGACTTAAAAGCAAACATCACAAAGCAGCTTCTGAGAATGCTGCTGTCTACTTTGTAAATGTAATCCCGTTTCCAACGAAATCCTCAAATCTATCCAAATATCCTCCTGCAGATTCCACGAAAAGACGGTTTCAAATCTGCTCTAAGAAAGGGAATATTCAACTCTGTGACTTGAATACAGATATCACAAAGTAGTTTCTGAGAGTGCTTCTGTCTAGGGTTTATATGAAGATGTTCCCGTTTCCAACGAAATAGCTTGAGCTATCCAAATATCCACTTGCAGATTCTACAGAAAGGGTGTTTCCAAACTGCTGTATCAAAAGACAGGTTGTACTCTGTTACTTGAGGACACACATCACAAAGAAGTTTCTGAGAATGCCCTTGTCTAGATTTTACCTGAAGATATTCCGGTTTCCAATTGAAACCTTAAAGCTTTCCAAATATCCACTTGCAGATTCTCCAATTGAGTCTTTCAAAAGTGCTCTGTAAATAGAAAGGTTCAACTCTGTTAGCTGAGGACATACATCACAAACGAGTTTATGAGAATGCTTCTGTCTAGTTTTTATGGGGAGATATTTCCTTTTGCACCGTAAGCGTCAAAGGGCTCCAAAAGTCCACATCCAGATACTGCAGAAAGAGTGTTTCAAACCTGCTCTATGAAAGCGAATGTTCAACTCTGTGATGAGAATGCAGACATCACAAAGCAGTTTCTGAGAATGCTTCTGTCTCGATTTAACATGAAGATATTCCCGTTTCCAACGAAAACTTCACAGTTATCCAAATATCCACTTGCAGATTCTACAAAAAGAGTGTTTCCAAACTGCTGTATCAAAAGAAAGGTTCAACTCTGTTAGTTGAGGACACACATCACAAATAAGTTTCTGAGAATGCTTCTGTCTAGTTTTTATGGGAAGATATTTCCTTTTTCACCATAGGCCTGAAAGCGCTCGAAAAGTCCACTTCCAGATACTACAGAAAGAGTGTTTCAAACCTGCTTTATGAAAGGGAATGCTCAACTCTGTGACTTAAAAGCAAACATCACAGAGAAGCTTCTGAGAATGCTACTGTCTACTTTGTGTATGTAATCCCGTTTCCAACGAAATCCTGAAATCTATCCAAATATCCACCTGCAGATTCCAAGAAAGGACGGTTTCAAACCGGCTCTAAGAAAGGGAATGTTCGACTCTGTGACTTCAATGCAGATATCACAAAATAGTTTCTGAGAGTGCTTCTGTCTAGATTTTATATGAAGATATTCCCGTTTCCAACGAAATACTTCGAGCTATCCAAATATCCCCTGGCATATTCCCCAAAAAGAGTGTTTCCAAACTTCTGTATCATAAGAGAGGTTGAACTCTGTTAGTTGAGGACACACATCACAAAGAAGTTTCTGAGAATGCTTCTGTCTAGTTTTTTAGGGAAGATATTTCCTTTTTCACCAAAGGCGTCAAAGCGCTCCAAATGTCCACTTCCAGATACTACAAAAAGAGTGTTTCAAACCTGCTCTAATAAAGGGAATGTTCAACTACGTGACTTGAGTGCACATATCACAAAGCAGTTTCTGAGAGTGCCTCTGTCTAGATTTTATATTAAGTATTCCCGTTTCCAACGAAATCGTTAGAGCTATCCAAATATCCACTTGCAGATTCTACAGAAAGAGTGTTTCAATACTGCTGTATCAAAAGACAGGTTGTCCTCTGTTAGCTGAGGACATACATCCCAAACCAGTTTGTGAGAATGCTTCTGTCAACTTTTCATGGGAAGATATTTCCTTGTTCACCATAGGCCTGAAAGCGCTCGAAATATCCTCTTACAGATACTACAGAAAGAGTGTTTGAAACCTGCTCTATGAAAGGGAATGTTCCACTCTGTGACTTAAAAGCAAACATCACAAAGCAGCTTCTGAGAATGCTGCTGTCTACTTTCTATATGTAATCCCGTTTCCAACGAAATCCTCAAGGTTATCCAAATATCCTCCCGCAGATTCCACGAAGAGACGGCTTCAAACCTGCTCTAAGAAAGGGAATATTCAACTCTGTGACTTGAATACAGATATCACAAAGTAGTTTCTGAGAGTGCTTCTGTCTAGAGTTTATATGAAGATATTCCCGTTTCCAACGAAATGGCTACAGCTATCCAAATATCCACTTGCAGATTCTACAGAAAGAGTGTTTCCAAGCTGCTGTATCAAAAGACAGGTTGTACTCTGTTACTTTAGGACACACATCACAAAGAAGTTTCTGAGAAAGCCCTTGTCTAGATTTTACCTGAAGATATTCCGGTTTCCAATTGAAACCTTAAAGCTTTCCAAATATCCACTTGCAGATTCTCCAATTGAGTCTTTCAAAACTGCTCTGTAAATAGAAAGGTTCAACTCTGTTAGCTGAGGACATACATCACAAACCAGTTTGTGAGAATGCTTCTGTCTAGTTTTTATGGGAAGATATTTCCTTTTTCACCGTAAGCGTCAAAGCGCTCCAAGTGTCCACATCCAGATACTACAGAAAGAGTCTTTCAAACCTGCTCTATGAAAGCGAATGTTCAACTCTGTGACGGGAATGCAGACATCACAAAGCAGTTTCTGAGAATGCTTCTGTCTCGATTTAACATGAAGATATTCCCGTTTCCAACGAAAACTTCACAGTTATCCAAATATCCACTTGCAGATTCTACAAAAAGAGTGTTTCCAAACTGCTGTATCAAAAGAAAGGTTCAACTCTGTTAGTTGAGGACACACATCACAAATAAGTTTCTGAGAATGCTTCTGTCTAGTTTTTATGGGAAGATATTTCCTTTTTCACCATAGGCCTGAAAGCGCTCGAAAAGTCCACTTCCAGATACTACAGAAAGAGTGTTTCAAACCTGCTCTATGAAAGGGAATGCTCAACTCTGTGACTTAAAAGCAAACATCACAGAGAAGCTTCTGAGAATGCTACTGTCTACTTTGTGTATGTAATCCCGTTTCCAACGAAATCCTGAAATCTATCCAAATATCCACCTGCAGATTCCAAGAAAGGACGGTTTCAAACCGGCTCTAAGAAAGGGAATGTTCGACTCTGTGACTTCAATGCAGATATCACAAAATAGTTTCTGAGAGTGCTTCTGTCTAGATTTTATATGAAGATATTCCCGTTTCCAACGAAATACTTCGAGCTATCCAAATATCCCCTTGCATATTCTTCAAAAAGAGTGTTTCCAAATTTCTGTATCATAAGAGAGGTTGAACTCTGTTAGTTGAGGACACACATCACAAAGAAGTTTCTGAGAATGCTTCTGTCTACTTGTTTAGGGAAGATATTTCCTTTCTCACCAAAGGCGTCAAAGCGCTCCAAATGTCCACTTCCAGATACTACAAAAAGAGTGTTTCAAACCTGCTCTAATACAGGGAATGTTCAACTCTGTGACTTGAATGCACATATCACAAAGCAGTTTCTGAGAGTGCCTCTGTCTAGATTTTATACTACAGTATTCCCGTTTCCAATGAAATCGTTAGAGCTATCCAAATATCCACTTGCAGATTCTACAGAAAGAGTGTTTCAATACTGCTGTATCAAAAGACAGGTTGTACTCTGTTAGCTGAGGACATACATCCCAAACCAGTTTGTGAGAATGCTTCTGACCAGTTTGTATGGGAAGATATTTCCTTGTTCACCATAGACCTGAAAGCGCTCGAAATGTCCTCTTCCAGATACTACAGAAAGAGTGTTTGAAACCTGCTCTATGAAAGGGAATGTTCAACTCTGTGAATAAAAAGCAAACATCACAAAGCAGCTTCTGAGAATGCTGCTGTCTACTTTGTATATGTAATCCCGTTTCCAACGAAATCCTCAAAGCTATCCAAATATCCTCCTACAGATTCCACGAAAAGACGGTTTCAAACCTGCTCTAAGAAAGGGAATATTCAACTCTGTGACTTGAATGCAGATATCACAAAGTAGTTTCTCAGAGTGCTTCTGTCTAGGTTTTATATGAAGATATTCCCGTTTCCAATGAAATAGTTCGAGCTATCCAAATATCCCCAGGCATATTCTCCAACAAGAGTGTTTCCAAACATCTGTATCATAAGAGAGGTTGAATTCCGTTAGTTGAGGACACACATCACAAAGAAGTTTCTGAGAATGCTTCTGTCTAGTTTTTATGGGAAGATATTTCCTTTTTCACCAAAGACGTCAAAGCGCTCCAAATGTCCACTTCCAGATACTACAAAAAGAGTGTTTCAAACCTGCTCCAATAAAGGGAATGTTCAACGCTGTGACTTGAATGCACATATCACAAAGCAGTTTCTGAGAGTGCCTCTGTCTAGATTTTATATTAAAGTATTCCCGTTTCCAACGAAATCGTTAGAGCTATCCAAATATCCACTTGCAGATTCTACAGAAAGAGTCTTTCAATACTGCTGTATCAAAAGACAGGTTGTACTCTGTTAGCTGAGGACATACATCCCAAACCAGTTTGTGAGAATGCTTCTGTCAAGTTTTTATGGGAAGATATTTTCCTTGTTCACCATAGGCCTGAAAGTGCTCGAAATGTCCTCTTCCAGATACTACAGAAAGAGTGTTGGAAACCTGCTCTATGAAAGGGAATGTTCAACTCTGTGACTTAAAAGCAAACATCACACAGCAGATTCTGAGAATGCTGCTGTCTACTTTGTATATGTAATCCCGTTTCCAACGAAATCCTCAAAGCTATCGAAATATCCTCCTGCAGATTCCACGAAAAGACGGTTTCAAACCTGCTTTACGAAAGGGAATATTCAACTCTGTGACTTGAATACAGATATCACAAAGTAGTTTCTGAGAGTGCTTCTCTCTAGGGTTTATATGAAGCTATTCCCGTTTCCAACGAAATAGCATGAGCTATCCAAATATCCACTTGCAGATTCTACAGAAAGGGTGTTTCCAAACTACTGTATCAAAAGACAGGTTGTACTCTGTTACTTGAGGACACACATCACAAAGAAGTTTCTGAGAATGCCCTTGTCTAGATTTTACCTGAAGATATTCCGGTTTCCAATTGAAACCTTAAAGCTTTCCAAATATCCACTTGCAGATTCTCCAATTGAGTCTTTCAAAACTGCTCTGTAAATAGAAAGGTTCAACTCTGTTAGCTGAGGACATACATCACAAACCAGTTTGTGAGAATGCTTCTGTCTAGTTTTTATGGGGAGATATTTCCTTTTGCACCGTAAGCGTCAAAGGGCTCCAAATGTCCACATCCAGATACTGCAGAAAGAGTGTTTCAAACCTGCTCTATGAAAGCGAATGTTCAACTCTGTGATGAGAATGCAGACATCACAAAGCAGTTTCTGAGAATGCTTCTGTCTCGATTTAACATGAAGATATTCCCGTTTCCAACGAAAACTTCACAGTTATCCAAATATCCACTTGCAGATTCTACAAAAAGAGTGTTTCCAAACTGCTGTATCAAAAGAAAGGTTCAACTCTGTTAGTTGAGGACACACATCACAAATAAGTTTCTGAGAATGCTTCTGTCTAGTTTTTATGGGAAGATATTTCCTTTTTCACCATAGGCCTGAAAGCGCTCGAAAAGTCCACTTCCAGATACTACAGAAAGAGTGTTTCAAACCTGCTTTATGAAAGGGAATGCTCAACTCTGTGACTTAAAAGCAAACATCACAGAGAAGCTTCTGAGAATGCTACTGTCTACTTTGTGTATGTAATCCCGTTTCCAACGAAATCCTGAAATCTATCCAAATATCCACCTGCAGATTCCAAGAAAGGACGGTTTCAAACCGGCTCTAAGAAAGGGAATGTTCGACTCTGTGACTTCAATGCAGATATCACAAAATAGTTTCTGAGAGTGCTTCTGTCTCGATTTAACATGAAGATATTCCCGTTTCCAACGAAATACTTCGAGCTATCCAAATATCCCCTGGCATATTCTCCAAAAAGACTGTTTCCAAACTTCTGTATCATAAGAGAGTTTGAACTCTATTAGTTGAGGACACACATCACAAAGAAGTTTCTGAGAATGCTTCTGTCTAGTTTTTTAGGGAAGATATTTCCTTTTTCACCAAAGGCGTCAAAGCGCTCCAAATGTCCACTTCCAGATACTACAAAAAGAGTGTTTCAAACCTGCTCTAATAAAGGGAATGTTCAACTCTGTGACTTGAATGCACATATCACAAAGCAGTTTCTGAGAGTGCCTGTGTCTAGATTTTATACTAAAGTATTCCCGTTTCCAACGAAATCGTTAGAGCTATCCAAATATCCACTTGCAGATTCTACAGAAAGAGTGTTTCAATACTGCTGTATCAAAAGACAGGCTGTACTCTGTTAGCTGAGGACATACATCCCAAACCAGTTTGTGAGAATGCTTCTGTCAAGTTTCTATGGGAAGATATTTCCTTGTTCACCATAGGCCTGAAAGCGCTCGAAATGTCCTCTTCCAGATACTAGAGAAAGAGTGTTTGAAACCTGCTCTATGAAAGGGAATGTTCAACTCCGTGACTTAAAAGCAAACATCACAAAGCAGCTCCTGAGAATGCTGCTATCTACTTTGTACATGTAATCCCTTTTCCAACGAAATCCTCAAAGCTATCCAAATATCCTCCTGCAGATTCCACGAAAAGACGGTTTCAAACCTGCTCTAAGAAAGGGAATATTCAACTCTGTGACTTGAATACAGATATCACAAAGTAGTTTCTGAGAGTGCTTCTGTCTAGTGTTTATAAGAAGCTATTCCCGTTTCCAACGAAATAGCTTGAGCTATCCAAATATCCACTTGCAGATTCTACAGAAAGAGTGTTTCCAAACTGCTGTATCAAAAGACAGGTTGTACTCTGTTACTTGGGGACACACATCACAAAGCAGTTTCTGAGAATGCTTCTTTCTCGATTTAACATGAAGATATTCCCGTTTCCAAAGAAATCTTCAAAGTTATCCAAATATCCACTTGCAGATTCTACAAAAAGAGTGTTTCCAAACTGCTGTATCAAAAGAAAGGTTCAACTCTGTTAGTTGAGGACACACATCACAAATAAGTTTCTGAGAATGCTTCTGTCTAGTTTTTATGGGAAGATATTTCCTTTTTCACCATAGGCCTGAAAGCCCTCGAAATGTCCACTTCCAGATACTACAGAAAGAGTGTTTCAAACCTGCTCTATGAAAGGGAATGCTCAACTCTGTGACTTAAAAGCAAACATCACAGAGAAGCTTCTGAGAATGCTACTGTCTAATTTGTATATGTAATCCCGTTTCCAAAGAAATCCTGAAAGCTATCCAAATATCCACCTGCAGATTCCAAGAAAAGTCGGTTTCAAATCGGCTCTAAGAAAGGGAATGTTCGACACTGTGGCTTGAATGCAGATATCACAAAGTAGTTTCTGAGACTGCTTCTGTCTAGATTTTATATGAAGATATTCCCGTTTAAAACGAAATACTTCGAGCTATCCCAATATCCCCTGGCATATTCTCCAAAAAGAGTGTTTCCAAACTTCTGTATCATAATAGTGGTTGAACTCTGTTAGTTGAAGACACACATCACAAAGAAGTTTCTGAGAATGCTTCTGTCTAGTTGTTTAGGGAAGATATTTCCTTTTTCACCAAAGGCGTCAAAGCACTCCAAATGTCCACTTCCAGATACTACAAAAAGAGTGTTTCAAACCTGCTCTAATAAAGGGAATGTTCAACTCTGTGACTTGAATGCACATATCAAAAAGCAGTTTCTGAGAGTGCCTCTGTCTAGATTTTATACTAAAGTATTCCCGTTTCCAAAGAAATCGTTAGAGCTATCCAAATATCCACTTGCAGATTCTACAGAAAGAGTGTTTCAATACTGCTGTATCAAAAGACAGGCTGTACTCTGTTAGCTGAGGACATACATCCCAAACCAGTTTGTGAGAATGCTTCTGTCAAGTTTGTATGGGAATATATTTCCTTGTTCACCATACGCCTGAAAGCGCTCGAAATATCCTCTTCCAGATACTACAGAAAGAGTGTTTGAAACCTGCTCTATGAAAGTGAATGTTCCACTCTGTGACTTAAAAGCAAACATCACAAAGCAGCTTCTGAGAATGCTGCTGTCTACTTTGTACATGTAATCCCGTTTCCAAAGAAATCCTCAAATCTATCCAAATATCCTCCTGCAGATTCCACGAAAACACGGTTTCAAACCTGCTGTAAGAAAGGGAATATTCAACTCTGTGACTTGAATACAGATATCACAAAGTAGTTTCTGAGAGTGCTTCTGTCTAGAGTTTATATGAAGATATTCCCGTTTCCAACGAAATAGCTTGAGCTATCCAACTATCCACTTGCAGATCCTACAGAAAGAGTGTTTCCAAACTGCTGTATCAAAAGACAGGTTGTACTCTGTTACTTGAGGACACACATCACAAAGAAGTTTCTGAGAATGCCCTTGTCTAGATTTTACCTGAAGATATTCCGGTTTCCAATTGAAACCTTAAAGCTTTCCAAATATCCACTTGCAGATTCTCCAATTGAGTCTTTCAAAAGTGCTCTGTAAATAGAAAGGTTCAACTCTGTTAGCTGAGGACATACATCACAAACCAGTTTGTGAGAATGCTTCTGTCTAGTTTTTATGGGGAGATATTTCCTTTTGCACCGTAAGCGTCAAAGGGCTCCAAAAGTCCACATCCAGATACTGCAGAAAGAGTGTTTCAAACCTGCTCTATGAAAGCGAATGTTCAACTCTGTGATGAGAATGCAGACATCACAAAGCAGTTTCTGAGAATGCTTCTGTCTCGATTTAACATGAAGATATTCCCGTTTCCAACGAAAACTTCACAGTTATCCAAATATCCACTTGCAGATTCTACAAAAAGAGTGTTTCCAAACTGCTGTATCAAAAGAAAGGTTCAACTCTGTTAGTTGAGGACACACATCACAAATAAGTTTCTGAGAATGCTTCTGTCTAGTTTTTATGGGAAGATATTTCCTTTTTCACCATAGGCCTGAAAGCGCTCGAAAAGTCCACTTCCAGATACTACAGAAAGAGTGTTTCAAACCTGCTCTATGAAAGGGAATGCTCAACTCTGTGACTTAAAAGCAAACATCACAGAGAAGCTTCTGAGAATGCTACTGTCTACTTTGTGTATGTAATCCCGTTTCCAACGAAATCCTGAAATCTATCCAAATATCCACCTGCAGATTCCAAGAAAGGACGGTTTCAAACCGGCTCTAAGAAAGGGAATGTTCGACTCTGTGACTTCAATGCAGATATCACAAAATAGTTTCTGAGAGTGCTTCTGTCTAGATTTTATATGAAGATATTCCCGTTTAAAACGAAATACTTCGAGCTATCCCAATATCCCCTGGCATATTCTCCAAAAAGAGTGTTTCCAAACTTCTGTATCATAATAGTGGTTGAACTCTGTTAGTTGAAGACACACATCACAAAGAAGTTTCTGAGAATGCTTCTGTCTAGTTTTTTAGGGAAGATATTTCCTTTTTCACCAAAGGCGTCAAAGCGCTCCAAATGTCCACTTCCAGATACTACAAAAAGAGTGTTTCAAACCTGCTCTAATAAAGGGAATGTTCAACTACGTGAGTTGAGTGCACATATCACAAAGCAGTTTCTGAGAGTGCCTCTGTCTAGATTTTATACTAAAGTATTCCCGTTTCCAACGAAATCGTTAGAGCTATCCAAATATCCACTTGCAGGTTCTACAGAAAGAGTGTTTCAATACTGCTGTATCAAAAGACAGGCTGTACTCTGTTAGCTGAGGACATACATCCCAAACCAGTTTGTGAGAATGCTTCTGTCAAGTTTTATGGGAAGATAATCCCTTGTTCACCATAGGCCTGAAAGCGCTCGAAATGTCCTCTTCCAGATACTACAGAAAGAGTGTTGGAAACCTGCTCTATGAAAGGGAATGTTCAACTCTGTGACTTAAAAGCAAACATCACACAGCAGCTTCTGAGAATGATGCTGTCTACTTTGTACATGTAATCCCGTTTCCAACGAAATCCTCAAAGCTATCCAAATATCCTCCTGCAGATTCCACGAAAAGACGGTTTCAAACCTGCTGTAAGAAAGGGAATATTCAACTCTGTGACTTGAATACAGATATCACAAAGTAGTTTCTGAGAGTGCTTCTGTCTAGGGTTTATATGAAGATGTTCCCGTTTCCAACGAAATAGCTTGAGCTATCCAAATATCCACTTGCAGATTCTACAGAAAGGGTGTTTCCAAACTGCTGTATCAAAAGACAGGTTGTACTCTGTTACTTGAGGACACACATCACAAAGAAGTTTCTGAGAATGCCCTTGTCTAGATTTTACCTGAAGATATTCCGGTTTCCAATTGAAACCTTAAAGCTTTCCAAATATCCACTTGCAGATTCTCCAATTGAGTCTTTCAAAAGTGCTCTGTAAATAGAAAGGTTCAACTCTGTTAGCTGAGGACATACATCACAAACCAGTTTATGAGAATGCTTCTGTCTAGTTTTTATGGGGAGATATTTCCTTTTGCACCGTAAGCGTCAAAGGGCTCCAAAAGTCCACATCCAGATACTGCAGAAAGAGTGTTTCAAACCTGCTCTATGAAAGCGAATGTTCAACTCTGTGATGAGAATGCAGACATCACAAAGCAGTTTCTGAGAATGCTTCTGTCTCGATTTAACATGAAGATATTCCCGTTTCCAACGAAAACTTCACAGTTATCCAAATATCCACTTGCAGATTCTACAAAAAGAGTGTTTCCAAACTGCTGTATCAAAAGAAAGGTTCAACTCTGTTAGTTGAGGACACACATCACAAATAAGTTTCTGAGAATGCTTCTGTCTAGTTTTTATGGGAAGATATTTCCTTTTTCACCATAGGCCTGAAAGCGCTCGAAAAGTCCACTTCCAGATACTACAGAAAGAGTGTTTCAAACCTGCTCTATGAAAGGGAATGCTCAACTCTGTGACTTAAAAGCAAACATCACAGAGAAGCTTCTGAGAATGCTACTGTCTACTTTGTGTATGTAATCCCGTTTCCAACGAAATCCTGAAATCTATCCAAATATCCACCTGCAGATTCCAAGAAAGGACGGTTTCAAACCGGCTCTAAGAAAGGGAATGTTCGACTCTGTGACTTCAATGCAGATATCACAAAATAGTTTCTGAGAGTGCTTCTGTCTAGATTTTATATGAAGATATTCCCGTTTCCAACGAAATACTTCGAGCTATCCAAATATCCCCTTGCATATTCTACAAAAAGAGTGTTTCCAAACTTCTGTAACATAAGAGTGGTTGAACTCTGTTAGTTGAGGACACACATCACAAAAAGTTTCTGAGAATGCTTCTCTCTAGTTTTTTAAGGAAGATATTTCCTTTTTCCCCAAAGGCGTCAAAGCGCTGCAAATGTCCACTTCCAGATACTATAAAAAGAGTGTTTCAAACCTGCTCTAATAAAGGGAATGTTCAACTCTGTGACTTGAATGCGCATATCACAAAGCAGTTTCTGAGAGTGCCTCTGTCTAGATTTTATACTAAAGTATTCCCGTTTCCAACGAAATCGTTAGAGCTATCCAAATATCCACTTGCAGATTCTACAGAAAGAGTGTTTCAATACTGCTGTATCAAAAGACAGGTTGTACTCTGTTAGCTGAGGACATACATCCCAAACCAGTTTGTGAGAATGCTTCTGTCAAGTTTTTATGGGAAGATATTTCCTTGTTCACCATATGCCTGAAAGCGCTCGAAATGTCCTCTTCCAGATACTACAGAAAGAGTGTTTGAATCCTGCTCTATGAAAGGGAATGTTCAACTCTCTGACTTAAAAGCAAACATCACACAGCAGCTTCTGAGAATGCTGCTATCTACTTTGTACTTGTAATCCCGTTTCCAACGAACTCCTCAAAGCTATCCAAATATCCTCCTGCAGATTCTACCCAAAGACGGTTTCAAACCTGCTCTAAGAAAGGGAATATTCAACTCTGTGACTTGAATACAGATATCACAAAGTAGTTTCTGAGAGTGCTTCTGTCTAGGGTTTATATGAAGATGTTCCCGTTTCCAACGAAATAGCTTGAGCTATCCAAATATCCACTTGCAGATTCTACAGAAAGGGTGTTTCCAAACTGCTGTATCAAAAGACAGGTTGTACTCTGTTACTTGAGGACACACATCACAAAGAAGTTTCTGAGAATGCCCTTGTCTAGATTTTACCTGAAGATATTCCGGTTTCCAATTGAAACCTTAAAGCTTTCCAAATATCCACTTGCAGATTCTCCAATTGAGTCTTTCAAAAGTGCTCTGTAAATAGAAAGGTTCAACTCTGTTAGCTGAGGACATACATCACAAACCAGTTTATGAGAATGCTTCTGTCTAGTTTTTATGGGGAGATATTTCCTTTTGCACCGTAAGCGTCAAAGGGCTCCAAAAGTCCACATCCAGATACTGCAGAAAGAGTGTTTCAAACCTGCTCTATGAAAGCGAATGTTCAACTCTGTGATGAGAATGCAGACATCACAAAGCAGTTTCTGAGAATGCTTCTGTCTCGATTTAACATGAAGATATTCCCGTTTCCAACGAAAACTTCACAGTTATCCAAATATCCACTTGCAGATTCTACAAAAAGAGTGTTTCCAAACTGCTGTATCAAAAGAAAGGTTCAACTCTGTTAGTTGAGGACACACATCACAAATAAGTTTCTGAGAATGCTTCTGTCTAGTTTTTATGGGAAGATATTTCCTTTTTCACCATACGCCTGAAAGCCCTCGAAATGTCCACTTCCAGATACTACAGAAAGAGTGTTTCAAACCTGCTCTATGAAAGGGAATGCTCAACTCTGTGACTTAAAAGCAAACATCACAGAGAAGCTTCTGAGAATGCTACTGTCTACTTTGTATATGTAATCCCGTTTCCAACGAATTCCTGAAAGCTATCCAAATATCCTCCTGCAGATTCCACGAAAAGACGGTTTCAAACCTGCTCTAAGAAAGGGAATGTTCGACTCTGTGACTTGAATGCAGATATCACAAAGTAGTTTCTGAGAGTGCTTCTGTCTAGATTTTATATGAAGATATTCCCGTTTCCAACGAAATACTTCGAGCTATCCAAATATCCCCTTGCATATTCTCCAAAAGAGTGTTTCCAAACTTCTGTATCATAAGAGAGGTTGAACTCTGTTAGTTTACGAAACACATCACAAAGAAGTTTCTGAGAATGCTTCTGTCTAGTTTTTTACGGAAGATATTTCCTTTTTCACCAAAGGCGTCAAAGCGCTCCAAGTGTCCACTTCCAGATACTACAAAAAGAGTGTTTCAAACCTGCTCTAATAAAGGGAATGTTCAACTATGTGACTTGAGTGCACATATCACAAAGCAGTTTCTGAGAGTGCCTCTGTCTAGATTTTATATGAAGGTATTCCCTTATCCAACGAAATCGTTAGAGCTATCCAAAGATCCAATTGCAGATTCTACAGAAAGAGTGTTTCAATACTGCTGTATCAAAAGACAGGTTGTACTCTGTTAGTTGAGGACCTACATCACAAACCAGTTTGTGAGAATGCTTCTGTCAAGTTTCTATGGGAAGATATTTCCTTGTTCACCATAGGCCTGAAAGCGCTCGAAATGTCCTCTTCCAGATACTAGAGAAAGAGTATTTGAAACCTGCTCTATGAAAGGGAATGTTCAACTCTGTGACTTAAAAGCAAACATCACAAAGCAGCTCCTGAGAATGCTACTGTCTACTTTGTATATGTAATCCCGTTTCCAACGAATTCCTGAAAGCTATCCAAATATCCTCCTGCAGATTCCACGAAAAGACGGTTTCAAACCTGCTCTAAGAAAGGGAATGTTCGACTCTGTGACTTGAATGCAGATATCAAAAAGTAGTTTCTGAGAGTGCTTCTGTCTAGTGTTTATAAGAAGCTATTCCCGTTTCCAACGAAATAGCTTGAGCTATCCAAATATCCACTTGCAGATTCTACAGAAAGAGTGTTTCCAAACTGCTGTATCAAAAGACAGGTTGTACTCTGTTACTTGGGGACACACATCACAAAGCAGTTTCTGAGAATGCTTCTTTCTCGATTTAACATGAAGATATTCCCGTTTCCAAAGAAATCTTCAAAGTTATCCAAATATCCACTTGCAGATTCTACAAAAAGAGTGTTTCCAAACTGCTGTATCAAAAGAAAGGTTCAACTCTGTTAGTTGAGGACACACATCACAAATAAGTTTCTGAGAATGCTTCCGTCTAGTTTTTATGGGAAGATATTTCCTTTTTCACCATAGGCCTAAAAGTGCTCGAAATGTCCAGTTCCAGATACTAGAGAAAGAGTGTTTCAAACCTACTCTATGAAAGGGAATGTTCGACTCTGTAACTTGAATGCAAACAACACAGAGAAGGTTCTCAGAATGCTTCTGTCTCGATTTTACATGAAGATATTCCCGTTTCCAACGAAATCTTCAAAGTTATCCAAATATCCACTTGCAGATTCTACAAAAAGAGTGTTTCCAAACTGCTGTATCAAAAGAAAGGTTCAACTCCGTTAGTTGAGGACATACATCACAAATAAGTTTCTGAGAATGATTCTGTGTAGATTTTATATGAAGGTATTCCCGTTTCCAACGATATTCTTCGAGCTATCCAAATATCCCCTTGCATGTTCTACAGAAAGAGTGTTTCCAAACTTCTGTATCATAAGAGAGGTTGAACTCTGTTAGTTGAGGACACACATCACAAAGAAGTTTCTGAGAATGCTTCTGTCTAGTTGTTTAGGGAAGATATTTCCTTTTTCACCAAAGGCGTCAAAGCGCTCCAAATGTCCACTTCCAGATACTACAAAAAGAGTGTTTCAAACCTGCTCTAATACAGGGAATGTTCAACTCTGTGACTTGAATGCACATATCACAAAGCAGTTTCTGAGAGTGCCTCTGTCTAGATTTTATACTAAAGTATTCCCGTTTCCAACGAAATCGTTAGAGCTATCCAAATATCCACTTGCAGATTCTACAGAAAGAGTGTTTCAATACTGCTGTATCAAAAGACAGGCTGTACTCTGTTAGCTGAGGACATACATCCCAAACCAGTTCGTGAGAATACTTCTGTCAAGTTTCTATGGGAAGATATTTCCTTGTTCACCATAGGCCTGAAAGCGCTCGAAATGTCCTCTTCCAGATACTACAGAAAGAGTGTTTGAAACCTGCTCTATGAATGTGAATGTTCCACTCTGTGACTTAAAAGCAAACATCACAAAGCAGCTTCTGACAATGCTGCTGTCTACTTTGTAAATGTAATCCCGTTTCCAACGAAATCCTCAAATCTATCCAAATATCCTCCTGCAGATTCCACGAAAAGACGGTTTCAAATCTGCTCTAAGAAAGGGAATATTCAACTCTGTGACTTGAATACAGGTATCACAAAGTAGTTTCTGAGAGTGCTTCTGTCTAGGGTTTATATGAAGATGTTCCCGTTTCCAACGAAATAGCTTGAGCTATCCAAATATCCACTTGCAGATTCTACAGAAAGGGTGTTTCCAAACTGCTGTATCAAAAGACAGGTTGTACTCTGTTACTTGAGGACACACATCACAAAGAAGTTTCTGAGAATGCCCTTGTCTAGATTTTACCTGAAGATATTCCGGTTTCCAATTGAAACCTTAAAGCTTTCCAAATATCCACTTGCAGATTCTCCAATTGAGTCTTTCAAAAGTGCTCTGTAAATAGAAAGGTTCAACTCTGTTAGCTGAGGACATACATCACAAACCAGTTTATGAGAATGCTTCTGTCTAGTTTTTATGGGAAGATATTTCCTTTTGCACCGTAAGCGTCAAAGCGCTCCAAGTGTCCACATCCAGATACTGCAGAAAGAGTGTTTCAAACCTGCTCTATGAAAGCGAATCTTCAACTCTGTGATGAGAATGCAGACATCACAAAGCAGTTTCTGAGAATACTTCTGTCTCGATTTCACATGAAGATATTCCTGTTTCCAACGAAATCTTCAAAGTTATCCAAATATCCACTTGCAGATTCTACAAAAAGGGTGTTTCCAAACTGCTGTACCAAAAGAAAGGTTCAACTCTGTTACTTGAGGACACATTTCACAAATAAGTTTCTGAGAATGCTTCTGTCTAGTTTTTATGGGAAGATATTTCCTTTTTCACCATAGGCCTGAAAGCCCTCGAAATGTCCACTTCCAGATACTACAGAAAGAGTGTTTCAAACCTGCTCTATGAAAGGGAATTCTCAACTCTGTGACTTAAAAGCAAACATCACAGAGAAGCTTCTGAGAATGCTACTGTCTACTTTGTATATGTAATCCCCTTTCCAAGGAATTCCTGAAAGCTTTCCAAATATCCGCCTGCAGATTCCAAGAAAAGACGGTTTCAAACCTGCTCTAAGAAAGGGAATGTTCGACTCTGTGACTTGAATGCAGATATCACAAAGTAGTTTCTGAGAGTGCTTCTGTCTAGATTTTATATGAAGGTATTCCCCTTTCCAAGGAAATTCTTCGAGCTATCCAAATATCCCCTTGCATGTTCTACAGAAAGAGTGTTTCCAAACTTCTGTATCATAAGAGAGGTTGAACTCTGTTAGTTGAGGACACACATCACAAAGAAGTTTCTGAGAATGCTTCTGTCTAGTTTTTATGGGAAGATATTTCCTTTTTCACCAAAGGCGTCAAAGCGCTCCAAATGTCCACTTCCAGATACTACAAAAAGAGTGTTTCAAACCTGCTCCAATAAAGGGAATGTTCAACTGTGTGACTTGAATGCACATATCACAAAGCAGTTTCTGAGAGTGCCTCTGTCTAGATTTTATACTAAAGTATTCCCGTTTCCAACGAAATCGTTAGAGCTATCCAAATATCCACTTGCAGATTCTACAGAAAGAGTGTTTCAATACTGCTGTATCAAAAGACAGGCTGTACTCTGTTAGCTGAGGACATACATCCCAAACCAGTTCGTGAGAATACTTCTGTCAAGTTTCTATGGGAAGATATTTCCTTGTTCACCATAGGCCTGAAAGCGCTCGAAATGTCCTCTTCCAGATACTACAGAAAGAGTGTTTGAAACCTGCTCTATGAATGTGAATGTTCCACTCTGTGACTTAAAAGCAAACATCACAAAGCAGCTTCTGACAATGCTGCTGTCTACTTTGTAAATGTAATCCCGTTTCCAACGAAATCCTCAAATCTATCCAAATATCCTCCTGCAGATTCCACGAAAAGACGGTTTCAAATCTGCTCTAAGAAAGGGAATATTCAACTCTGTGACTTGAATACAGATATCACAAAGTAGTTTCTGAGAGTGCTTCTGTCTAGGGTTTATATGAAGATGTTCCCGTTTCCAACGAAATAGCTTGAGCTATCCAAATATCCACTTGCAGATTCTACAGAAAGGGTGTTTCCAAACTGCTGTATCAAAAGACAGGTTGTACTCTGTTACTTGAGGACACACATCACAAAGAAGTTTCTGAGAATGCCCTTGTCTAGATTTTACCTGAAGATATTCCGGTTTCCAATTGAAACCTTAAAGCTTTCCAAATATCCACTTGCAGATTCTCCAATTGAGTCTTTCAAAAGTGCTCTGTAAATAGAAAGGTTCAACTCTGTTAGCTGAGGACATACATCACAAACCAGTTTATGAGAATGCTTCTGTCTAGTTTTTATGGGGAGATATTTCCTTTTGCACCGTAAGCGTCAAAGGGCTCCAAATGTCCACATCCAGATACTGCAGAAAGAGTGTTTCAAACCTGCTCTATGAAAGCGAATGTTCAACTCTGTGATGAGAATGCAGACATCACAAAGCAGTTTCTGAGAATGCTTCTGTCTCGATTTAACATGAAGATATTCCCGTTTCCAACGAAAACTTCACAGTTATCCAAATATCCACTTGCAGATTCTACAAAAAGAGTGTTTCCAAACTGCTGTATCAAAAGAAAGGTTCAACTCTGTTAGTTGAGGACACACATCACAAATAAGTTTCTGAGAATGCTTCTGTCTAGTTTTTATGGGAAGATATTTCCTTTTTCACCATAGGCCTGAAAGCGCTCGAAAAGTCCACTTCCAGATACTACAGAAAGAGTGTTTCAAACCTGCTCTATGAAAGGGAATGCTCAACTCTGTGACTTAAAAGCAAACATCACAGAGAAGCTTCTGAGAATGCTACTGTCTACTTTGTGTATGTAATCCCGTTTCCAACGAAATCCTGAAATCTATCCAAATATCCACCTGCAGATTCCAAGAAAGGACGGTTTCAAACCGGCTCTAAGAAAGGGAATGTTCGACTCTGTGACTTCAATGCAGATATCACAAAATAGTTTCTGAGAGTGCTTCTGTCTAGATTTTATATGAAGATATTCCCGTTTCCAAAGAAATACTTCGAGCTATCCAAATATCCCCTGGCATATTCTCCAAAAAGAGTGTTTCCAAACTTCTGTATCATAAGAGAGGTTGAACTCTGTTAGTTGAGGACACACATCACAAAGAAGTTTCTGAGAATGCTTCTGTCTAGTTTTTTAGGGAAGATATTTCCTTTTTCACCAAAGGCGTCAAAGCGCTCCAAATGTCCACTTCCAGATACTACAAAAAGAGTGTTTCAAACCTGCTCTAATAAAGGGAATTTTCAACTACGTGAGTTGAGTGCACATATCACAAAGCAGTTTCTGAGAGTGCCTCTGTCTAGATTTTGCATTAAGTTATTCCCGTTTCCAAAGAAATCGTTAGAGCTATCCAAATATCCACTTGCAGATTCTACAGAAAGAGTCTTTCAATACTGCTGTATCAAAAGACAGGTTGTACTCTGTTAGCTGAGGACATACATCCCAAACCAGTTTGTGAGAATGCTTCTGTCAAGTTTGTATGGGAAGATATTTCCTTGTTCACCATAGGCCTGAAAGCGCTCGAAATGTCCTCTTCCATATACTAGAGAAAGAGTGTTTGAAACCTGCTCTATGAAAGGGAATGTTCAACTCTGTGACTTAAAAGCAAACATCACAAAGCAGCTTCTGAGAAAGCTGCTGTCTACTTTGTATATGTAATCCCGTTTCCAACGAAATCCTCAAAGCTATCCAAATATCCTCCTGCAGATTCCACGAAAAGACGGTTTCATACCTGCTCTAAGAAAGGGAATATTCAACTCTGTGACTTGAATACAGATATCACAAAGTAGTTTCTGAGAGTGCTTCTGTCTAGTGTTTATAAGAAGCTATTCCCGTTTCCAACGAAATAGCTTGAGCTATCCAAATATCCACTTGCAGATTCTACAGAAAGAGTGTTTCCAAACTGCTGTATCAAAAGACAGGTTGTACTCTGTTACTTGGGGACACACATCACAAAGCAGTTTCTGAGAATGCTTCTCTCTCGATTTTACATGAAGATATTCCCGTTTCCAACGAAATCTTCAGAGTTATCCAAATATCGACTTGCAGATTCTACAAAAAGAGTGTTTCCAAACTGCTGTATCAAAAGAAAGGTTCAAATCTGTTAGTTGAGGACACACATCACAAATAAGTTTCTGAGAATGCTTCTGTCTAGTTTTTATGGGAAGATATTTCCTTTTTCACCATAGGCCTGAAAGTGCTCGAAATGTCCACTTCCAGATACTACAGAAAGAGTGTTTGAAACCTCCTCTATGAAAGGGAATTTTCAACTTTGTGACTTAAAAGCAAACATCACAAAGAAGCTTCTGAGAATGCTACAGTGTAATTTGTATATGTAATCCCGTTTCCAAAGAAATCCTGAAAGCTATCCAAATATCCACCGGCAGATTCCAAGAAAGGACGGTTTCAAACCGGCTCTAAGAAAGGGAATGTTCGACTCTGTGACTTGAATGCAGATATCACAAAGTAGTTTCTGAGAGTGCTTCTGTCTAGATTTTATATGAAGGTATTCCCTTTTCCAACGAAATACTTCGAGCTATCCAAATATCCCCTGGCATATTCTCCAAAAAGAGTGTTTCCAAACTTCTGTATCATAAGAGAGGTTGAACTCTGTTAGTTGAGGACACACATCACAAAGAAGTTTCTGAGAATGCTTCTGTCTAGTTGTTTAGGGAAGATATTTCCTTTTTCACCAAAGGCGTCAAAGCGCTCCAAATGTCCACTTCCAGATACTACAAAAAGAGTGTTTCAAACCTGCTCTAATACAGGGAATGTTCAACTCTGTGACTTGAATGCACATATCACAAAGCAGTTTCTGAGAGTGCCTCTGTCTAGATTTTATACTAAAGTATTCCCGTTTCCAACGAAATCGTTAGAGCTATCCAAATATCCACTTGCAGATTCTACAGAAAGAGTGTTTCAATACTGCTGTATCAAAAGACAGGCTGTACTCTGTTAGCTGAGGACATACATCCCAAACCAGTTCGTGAGAATACTTCTGTCAAGTTTCTATGGGAAGATATTTCCTTGTTCACCATAGGCCTGAAAGCGCTCGAAATGTCCTCTTCCAGATACTACAGAAAGAGTGTTTGAAACCTGCTCTATGAATGTGAATGTTCCACTCTGTGACTTAAAAGCAAACATCACAAAGCAGCTTCTGACAATGCTGCTGTCTACTTTGTAAATGTAATCCCGTTTCCAACGAAATCCTCAAATCTATCCAAATATCCTCCTGCAGATTCCACGAAAAGACGGTTTCAAATCTGCTCTAAGAAAGGGAATATTCAACTCTGTGACTTGAATACAGATATCACAAAGTAGTTTCTGAGAGTGCTTCTGTCTAGGGTTTATATGAAGATGTTCCCGTTTCCAACGAAATAGCTTGAGCTATCCAAATATCCACTTGCAGATTCTACAGAAAGGGTGTTTCCAAACTGCTGTATCAAAAGACAGGTTGTACTCTGTTACTTGAGGACACACATCACAAAGAAGTTTCTGAGAATGCCCTTGTCTAGATTTTACCTGAAGATATTCCGGTTTCCAATTGAAACCTTAAAGCTTTCCAAATATCCACTTGCAGATTCTCCAATTGAGTCTTTCAAAAGTGCTCTGTAAATAGAAAGGTTCAACTCTGTTAGCTGAGGACATACATCACAAACCAGTTTGTGAGAATGCTTCTGTCTAGTTTTTATGGGGAGATATTTCCTTTTGCACCGTAAGCGTCAAAGGGCTCCAAATGTCCACATCCAGATACTGCAGAAAGAGTGTTTCAAACCTGCTCTATGAAAGCGAATGTTCAACTCTGTGATGAGAATGCAGACATCACAAAGCAGTTTCTGAGAATGCTTCTGTCTCGATTTAACATGAAGATATTCCCGTTTCCAACGAAAACTTCACAGTTATCCAAATATCCACTTGCAGATTCTACAAAAAGAGTGTTTCCAAACTGCTGTATCAAAAGAAAGGTTCAACTCTGTTAGTTGAGGACACACATCACAAATAAGTTTCTGAGAATGCTTCTGTCTAGTTTTTATGGGAAGATATTTCCTTTTTCACCATAGGCCTGAAAGCGCTCGAAAAGTCCACTTCCAGATACTACAGAGTGTTTCAAACCTGCTCTATGAAAGGGAATGCTCAACTCTGTGACTTAAAAGCAAACATCACAGAGAAGCTTCTGAGAATGCTACTGTCTACTTTGTGTATGTAATCCCGTTTCCAACGAAATCCTGAAATCTATCCAAATATCCACCTGCAGATTCCAAGAAAGGACGGTTTCAAACCGGCTCTAAGAAAGGGAATGTTCGACTCTGTGACTTCAATGCAGATATCACAAAATAGTTTCTGAGAGTGCTTCTGTCTAGATTTTATATGAAGATATTCCCGTTTCCAAAGAAATACTTCGAGCTATCCAAATATCCCCTGGCATATTCCCCAAAAAGAGTGTTTCCAAACTTCTGTATCATAAGAGAGGTTGAACTCTGTTAGTTGAGGACACACATCACAAAGAAGTTTCTGAGAATGCTTCTGTCTAGTTTTTTAGGGAAGATATTTCCTTTTTCACCAAAGGCGTCAAAGCGCTCCAAATGTCCACTTCCAGATACTACAAAAAGAGTGTTTCAAACCTGCTCTAATAAAGGGAATGTTCAACTACGTGACTTGAGTGCACATATCACAAAGCAGTTTCTGAGAGTGCCTCTGTCTAGATTTTATATTAAAGTATTCCCGTTTCCAACGAAATCGTTAGAGCTATCCAAATATCCACTTGCAGATTCTACAGAAAGAGTGTTTCAATACTGCTCTATCAAAAGACAGGTTGTACTCTGTTAGCTGAGGACATACATCCCAAACCAGTTTGTGGGAATGCTTCTGTCAAGTTTCTATGGGAAGATATTTCCTTGTTCACCATAGGCCTGAAAGCGCTCGAAATGTCCTCTTCCAGATACTAGAGAAAGAGTATTTGAAACCTGCTCTATGAAAGGGAATGTTCAACTCTGTGACTTAAAAGCAAACATCACAAAGCAGCTCCTGAGAATGCTGCTGTCTACTTTGTATATGTAATCCGGTTTCCAACGAAATCCTCAAAGCTATCCAAATATCCTCCTGCAGATTCCACGAAAAGACGGTTTCAAACCTGATCTAAGAAAGGGAATATTCAACTCTGTGACTTGAATACAGATATCACAAATTAGTTACTGAGAGTGCTTCTGTCTAGAGTTTATATGAAGATATTCCCGTTTCCAAAGAAATAGCTTGAGCTATCCAAATATCCACTTGCAGATTTTACAGAAAGAGTGTTTCCAAACTACTGTATCAAAAGACAGGTTGTACTCTGTTACTTGAGGACACACATCACAAAGAAGTTTCTGACAATGCCTCTTTCTCGATTTTACATGAAGATATTCCTGCTTCCAACGAAATCTTCAAAGTTATCCAAATATCCCCTTGCAGATTCTACAAAATGTGTGTTTCCAAACTGCTGTATCAAAAGAAAGGTTCAACTCTGTTAGTTGAGGACACACATCACAAATAAGTTTCTGAGAATGCTTCTGTCTAGTTTTTATGGGAAGATATTTCCTTTTTCACCATAGGCCTGAAAGTGCTCCAAATGTCCACTTCCAGATGCTACAGATAGAGTGTTTCAAACCTGCTCTATGAAAGGGAATGTTCAACTCTGTGACTTAAAGGCAAACATCACACAGAAGCTTACTGAGAATGCTACAGTCTAATTTGTATATGTAATCCCGTTTCCAAAGAAATCCTGAAAGCTATCCAAATATCCACCTGCAGATTCCAAGAAAAGACGGTTTCAAACCGGCTCTAAGAAAGGGAATGTTCGACTCTGTGACTTGAATGCAGATATCACAAAGTAGTTTCTGAGAGTGCTTCTGTCTAGATTTTATATGAAGGTATTCCCGTTTCCAACGAAATTCTTCGAGCTATCCAAATATCCCTTGCATGTTCTACAGAAAGAGTGTTTCCAAACTTCTGTATCATAAGAGAGGTTGAACTCTGTTAGTTGAGGACACACATCACAAAGAAGTTTCTGAGAATGCTTCTGTCTGGTTTTTATGGGAAGATATTTCCTTTTTCACCAAAGGCGTCAAAGCGCTCCAAATGTCCACTTCCAGATAATACAAAGGAGTGTTTCAAACCTGCTCTAATAAAGGGAATGTTCAACTCTGTGACTTGAATGCACATATCACAAAGCAGTTTCTGAGAGTGCCTCTGTCTAGATTTTATACTAAAGTATTCCCGTTTCCAACGAAATCGTTAGAGCTATCCAAATATCCACTTGCAGATTCTACAGAAAGAGTGTTTCAATACTGCTGTATCAAAAGACAGGCTGTACTCTGTTAGCTGAGGACATACATCCCAAACCAGTTCGTGAGAATACTTCTGTCAAGTTTCTGTGGGAAGATATTTCCTTGTTCACCATAGGCCTGAAAGCGCTCGAAATGTCCTCTTCCAGATACTACAGAAAGAGTGTTTGAAACCTGCTCTATGAATGTGAATGTTCCACTCTGTGACTTAAAAGCAAACATCACAAAGCAGCTTCTGACAATGCTGCTGTCTACTTTGTAAATGTAATCCCGTTTCCAACGAAATCCTCAAATCTATCCAAATATCCTCCTGCAGATTCCACGAAAAGACGGTTTCAAATCTGCTCTAAGAAAGGGAATATTCAACTCTGTGACTTGAATACAGGTATCACAAAGTAGTTTCTGAGAGTGCTTCTGTCTAGGGTTTATATGAAGATGTTCCCGTTTCCAACGAAATAGCTTGAGCTATCCAAATATCCACTTGCAGATTCTACAGAAAGGGTGTTTCCAAACTGCTGTATCAAAAGACAGGTTGTACTCTGTTACTTGAGGACACACATCACAAAGAAGTTTCTGAGAATGCCCTTGTCTAGATTTTACCTGAAGATATTCCGGTTTCCAATTGAAACCTTAAAGCTTTCCAAATATCCACTTGCAGATTCTCCAATTGAGTCTTTCAAAAGTGCTCTGTAAATAGAAAGGTTCAACTCTGTTAGCTGAGGACATACATCACAAACGAGTTTATGAGAATGCTTCTGTCTAGTTTTTATGGGGAGATATTTCCTTTTGCACCGTAAGCGTCAAAGGGCTCCAAAAGTCCACATCCAGATACTGCAGAAAGAGTGTTTCAAACCTGCTCTATGAAAGCGAATGTTCAACTCTGTGATGAGAATGCAGACATCACAAAGCAGTTTCTGAGAATGCTTCTGTCTCGATTTAACATGAAGATATTCCCGTTTCCAACGAAAACTTCACAGTTATCCAAATATCCACTTGCAGATTCTACAAAAAGAGTGTTTCCAAACTGCTGTATCAAAAGAAAGGTTCAACTCTGTTAGTTGAGGACACACATCACAAATAAGTTTCTGAGAATGCTTCTGTCTAGTTTTTATGGGAAGATATTTCCTTTTTCACCATAGGCCTGAAAGCGCTCGAAAAGTCCACTTCCAGATACTACAGAAAGAGTGTTTCAAACCTGCTCTATGAAAGGGAATGCTCAACTCTGTGACTTAAAAGCAAACATCACAGAGAAGCTTCTGAGAATGCTACTGTCTACTTTGTGTATGTAATCCCGTTTCCAACGAAATCCTGAAATCTATCCAAATATCCACCTGCAGATTCCAAGAAAGGACGGTTTCAAACCGGCTCTAAGAAAGGGAATGTTCGACTCTGTGACTTCAATGCAGATATCACAAAATAGTTTCTGAGAGTGCTTCTGTCTAGATTTTATATGAAGATATTCCCGTTTCCAACGAAATACTTCGAGCTATCCAAATATCCCCTGGCATATTCCCCAAAAAGAGTGTTTCCAAACTTCTGTATCATAAGAGAGGTTGAACTCTGTTAGTTGAGGACACACATCACAAAGAAGTTTCTGAGAATGCTTCTGTCTAGTTTTTATGGGAAGATATTTCCTTTTTCACCAAAGGCGTCAAAGCGCTCCAAATGTCCACTTCCAGATACTACAAAAAGAGTGTTTCAAACCTGCTCCAATAAAGGGAATGTTCAACTCTGTGACTTGAATGCACATATCACAAAGCAGTTTCTGAGAGTGCCTGTGTCTAGATTTTATACTAATGTATTCCCGTTTCCAACGAAATCGTTAGAGCTATCCAAATATCCACTTGCAGATTCTACAGAAAGAGTGTTTCAATACTGCTGTATCAAAAGACAGGTTGTACTCTGTTAGCTGAGGACATACATCCCAAACCAGTTTGTGAGAATGCTTCTGTCAAGTTTGTATGGGAAGATATTTCCTTGTTCACCATAGGCCTGAAAGCGCTCGAAATGTCCTCTTCCAGATACTAGAGAAAGAGTGTTTGAAACCTGCTCTATGAAAGGGAATGTTCAACTCCGTGACTTAAAAGCAAACATCACAAAGCAGCTCCTGAGAATGCTGCTGTCTGCTTTGTATATGTAATCCCGTTTCCGACGAAATCCCCAAAGCTATCCAAATATCCTCCTGCAGATTCCACGAAAAGACGGTTTCAAACCTGCTCTAAGAAAGGGAATATTCAACTCTGTGACTTGAATGCAGATAGCACAAAGTAGTTTCGGAGAGTGCTTCTGTCTAGTGTTTATAAGAAGCTATTCCCGTTTCCAACGAAATAGCTTGAGCTATCCAAATATCCACTTGCAGATTCTACAGAAAGAGTGTTTCCAAACTGCTGTATCAAAAGACAGGTTGTACTCTGTTACTTGGGGACACACATCACAAAGCAGTTTCTGAGAATGCTTCTGTCTCGATTTTACATGAAGATTTTCCCGTTTCCAACGAAATCTTCAAAGTTATCCAAATATCCACTTGCAGATTCTACAAAAAGAGTGTTTTCAAACTGCTGTATCAAAAGAAAGGTTCAACTCTGTTAGTTGAGGACACACATCACAATAAGTTTCTGAGAATACTTCCGTCTAGGTTTTATGGGAACATATTTCCTTTTTCACCATAGGCCTGAAAGCCCTCGAAATGTCCACTTCCAGATACTACAGAAAGAGTGTTTCAAACCTGCTCTATGAAAGGGAATGCTCAACTCTGTGACTTAAAAGCAAACATCTCAGAGAAGCTTCTGAGAATGCTACTGTCTACTTTGTATATGTAATCCCGTTTCCAACGAAATCCTGGAAGCTATGCAAATATCCACCTGCAGATTCCAAGAAAAGACGGTTTCAAACCGGCTCTAAGAAAGGGAATGTTCCACTCTGTGACTTGAATGCAGATATCACAAAGTAGTTTCTGAGAGTGCT